>NC_000015.10:85835217-85986732 GCF_000001405.40 Homo sapiens
TGTTCAGTGTTTGAAGGCCCTCACTCACTGCTAGAATCTCCAAAAGACTCTCATAAAGGCAGCTTGAGCTTCCACCTCGAAGGTCTTAAAACTTGTCCAGGCCGGGTGTGGTGGCTCATGCCTGTAATCCCAGCATTTTGGGAGGCCGAGGAAGGGAAATCACCTGAGGTCAGGGGTTGGAGACCAGCCTGGTCAACATGGTGAAACCCCATCTCTATTAAAAATACAAAAATTAGTCAGGTGTGGTGGCGCATGCCTGTAATCTCAGCTACTTAGGAGGCTGAGGCAGGAGAATCGCTTGAGCCTGGAGGTGGAGGTTGCAGTTAGTCGAGATCGCATCATTGCATTCCAGCCTGGGTGACAGAGCCAGACTCTCTCTAAAAAAAAAAAAAAAAAAAAAATCATGCATCCCTACTACATGCAAATCTGTTTAGTCATATAGTTTATACAGTTAGCACTGGATTTATATAGGGTGTACCTTAAAACCATGCACAAAGTAGAAATTACAAGGATGATACTTTTTCATAAATTATAAACATTAATGTATTATGCTCATTAAAGCCATATATAAAAAGAGAAATGTAAAATGGGGACATAAGAATAACTATAAAAATAAATTTAAGAAATAACTATATTGCACTGGATGCAGTGGCTCACATCTGTAATCCCAGCACTTTGGGAGGCAGAGGTGGGCTGATCACTAGGTCAGGAGTTCGAGACCAGCCTGGCCAATATGGTGACACTCTGTCTTTACTGAAATTACAAAAATTAGCCGGGCGTGGTGGTGCACACCTGTAGTCCCAGCTACTCGGGAGGCTGAGGCAGAGGCACAAGAACTGCTTGAACCCGGGAGGCAGAGGTTGCAGTCAGCTGAGATCACGCCACTGCACTCCAGCCTGGGCAGCAGAGTGAGACTCTGTCTCAAAAAAAAAAAAGAAAGAAAAGAAATAACTAATAACTATATTGGCTGGGCACGGTGGCTCACGCCTGTGATCCCAGCACTTTGGGAGGCCAAGGCGGGCAGATTACCTGAGGTCAGGAGTTCAAGACCAGCCTGGCTAACATGGTGAAACCGTGTTTCTACAAAAAAACTAAAAAACTTAGCCAGGCGTGGTGGCACGTGTCTGTAATCCCAGCTACTCAGGAGGCTGAGGCAGGAGAATTGCTTGAACCTGGAGGCGGAGGTTGCTGTGAGCCGAGATCACAACAATGCACTCCAGCTTGGGCAACGAGAGTGAAACTCCGTCTCAAGAAAAAAAGAACTAACTATAAAAAATAAGTTATTGGCCAGGTGCGGTGGCTCACGCCTGTAATCCTAGCACTTTGGGAGGCCGAGGAAGGTGGATTACAAGGTAAGGAGTTTGGGACCAGCGTGGCCAATATGGTGAAACCCCGTCTGTTCTGGAAATACAAAAATTAGCTGGGCGTGATGGCAGGTGCCTGTTGTCCCAGCTACTTGGGAGGCTGAGGCAGGAGAATTGCTTGAACCTGGGAGGCAGGGGTTGCAGTGAGCAGAGACCGCGCCACTGCACTCCAGCCTGGGTAACAGAGTGAGGCTCTGTTTCAAAAAAAAAAAAGAAAAAGAAAAAGAAATAAGTTCTTATCTTTTCTTCCTCCACTCCAGTGAATTTTCTCCCCTCCTCACCCCCACAGGGTGCCTGTATCTCATTTTATTTATTTTTTATTATTACTATTATTTTTGAGAGTAGCTGGGATTACAGGCAGGCACCACCACACCCAGCTAATTTTTTTTGTATTTTTAGTAGAGATGGGGTTTCACCATGTTGGCCTGGCTGGCCTTGAACTCCTGACCTCAGGTGATCTGCCCACCTTGGCCTCCCAAAGTGCTAGGATTCCAGGCATGAGCCACCGTGCCCGGCCTGCATCTCATTTTAGAAACCAGACTATTCTGTCAACATCTGCGTACTTGCCAGCTGCCTATTTTACAAGTGCAATTTCACTTAAGCTTCATTGCCACCCTGGGCGTTTCTACCTTTGCTTTCCATATCAGATCAGAAAACAAACTGAGCTAGGCTACATGACTCATTCAGGACACACAGTGAGGAAGTTAGGAGCCTGATGTTGACTCCTGTGTTCGTTTGCTCAGGCTGCCAACACCGACTGGGGGCTTCAATAATGGAAGCTTATTTTCACACAGTTCTGGAGGCTGGAGTTCCAAGATCAAGGTTTTGGCAGGTCTGGCTTCTTCTGGGGCCTCTCTCCTTGGCTTGCAGATGGCTGCCTACTCATGGGGTCCTTACACGGTCTTTTCTCTGTGCTGACACATCCTGGTGTGCCTTCCTTTTCTTAGGAACAGCAGTTCTGTTGGATTAGGGCCCTGCTCTGTGACCTCATTCGAACTTATTACCTCCTTAAAGACCCTAACTCCAAGTACAGTCATATTCAGAGACACTGGGGGTTAGGGTTCCAACGTATAAATTTTGGGGGGACAAAATTCAACTCATAAGAGTTCCCAGGCCTATGCTCTCTAGTCACTGGGCTGCCCTGCTTGGCTGGCCTGAGCATGTGACCTGAGGACACCCACTACAAAGATAAGTGCCCCTATGGCCTTCCAGGGGACAGCCCCAGCAGAATCTTAACACTCCTGTAAGATCTCTTTATCCCCTGCTTCCAGGATCCTGGTGCACCCATCCTTCTGCCTGGAATATCCTCTTCTCTCCTCTAATCTGCTCCCTTGCCACCTTCCCCACCTCCCCACTGGTCTAAGTCCTCTCTGTCTTCTCTGTTCTTCCAGCAAACTCCAATGTCATCTCCTCCATGAAGCCCTGGCTGCCACTCACAGAGAAGCAGGCTGAGTCCTGCACCAGGATGCCTGGCTGAGGAGCAGAGTGGCATAAAAGCATTTGCTCTTTGTTTGCAGGCCGCTGGGCCCAGGAGGCTGGGTCTGTTCAGGTAAGCTCCTTCTAATTTGCATCAACACTCATAAGGGGTAGGATGGCCCTGCAGTGTTGCTAGAAGTGATTTTTCTCTTCTGTTCGTTTCCATAAAATTTTATGGTACCTCTCATATACCATTCTGTGTTACTGGTATTTTTGTATTTGAATTGTCTTCTTATCTAGAAGGTGAGTTCTGAGAGTGCAGGGATCTTATCTTATCTTCATTCATTCATTCATTCATTCTTTCTTTCCTGCACTCACTCCATAAAGACCATTGAGATTCCACTGTGTTTGTTCAATTAAAGCTTGCTGAAAGAATACCTCAGTGAAATGCCCCCTGCCCAGGTAGCCTGTGCTCCTCCTGTATCTTCTTCATTCAATCCTCCCTGCTCTTTCATCCAGTTTACAGAATCAGACCCTCCACACACTGGCTTTTAGAGCTAGGGTCAGGTGTGGGTGGCCAAGCAGCATCTGATATGAGCAAAGGTGGCCCTGCTCTTCTCTGACCTCTTTACAGACCCCAAGTGCATTCTTTGCCAAAGCCACCCCAACCCCATTCTCTGCGAGCATTCCCTCCCCAGCTGCACCCTGCCCTCCCAACTCCTAGGATAGTCCACGTGGCCCTAGTAGTGTAGATGGAGCACATTCCAGGGCTCCCTCAGAGGGAGGACAGAAACTTGTGGAGCAGGAGGCGTCCCTTAAAGGAGGCAGGCAGAGAGGTGGGCCCTCGTCCCGGGTCAGGATCCTAGCAGGAAGCAGATACACCTTAGCTTCTACTGGGGAGTTGCCAGGAAACGATTGTGCGTCAGTCTGCACACTCCCAGTTGGTAGCTTCTGGAACATGGAGTAGAGAAACCTGGAAAAACTGAACAAGTAGAGCAATTGATTTTGTTCACACAATCGCAATAGGAAGAACACCCCAGATATGAAGATTAGAGTAATGGAAGGCAGGTTTTTTTTTTTTCAAGCAAACTTTTCATTGAATGTTAACAAGTTTTTACATACATGTGACCGCTACCACAATGAAAATACAGAACAAACATTTCCATTGCCCCCCAGAGTTCTCTTGTGCCCCATTCCATTTGACACCCCAGCCAATGGCCCAAGGCAAGCATTCATCTTCTTCTGTCATGATTATTTTTTCTACAGTTTTATATAAATTGAATTATAGGGTTTATAAGTACTCTTGATATCTGGTTCTCTCTCTTTTTTTTTTTTTTTTTGAGACAAAGTCTCGCTGTGACTCCCAGGTGGAGTGCAGTGGCATGATCTCGGCTCACTACAACCCCTGCCTCCCAGTTCAAGCGATTCTCCTGCCTCAGCCTCCTGAGTAGCTGGGATTATAGGTGCCTGCCACGACGCCCAGCTAATTTTTGTATTATTAGTAGAGACGGGGTTTCACCATGTTGGACAGGCTGGTCTCGAACTCCTGACCTCAGGTGATCCACCTGCCTTGGTCTCCCAAAGTGCTGGAATTATAGGTATGAGCCACTGCACCCAGCATGATTATGGTCTTAAAATACAGAGTGACTTATGATTTATGCCTGATTCTCTGGTGGCTGGGGAACCAAATAGTCTGAGAAAATACTTGGGTCAGTGGGAGCATTGGGATGACTGGAGGTGAGGAAGGGTTTGAGGTGTGAAACATCATTTATGGGAGGCTGTTGTTATGGAACTAGTCTCCTGCACTAGGCCCCAGCAGGCCAGACACCAGAATGGAGTCAGTTGTGCTAAGTGCAGTGTCATCAAACTGAACTTTGAAATGGGCCAGTTCCCCTAAAACATTCCATTTAATCTGCATCAACCTAAGTAATAAGGAAGTCCCCTCTGCTTTAACCCTGTAGGGAAAGTAACTTTGACATGATCAGTCCGTGTTTTGTTCTGTTTCTGCTTTCTGCCGCTCTTCTCTGCCTGCAAAGCCAACCTCCTGTGCTCAGCTCATTTTATAGGATGAGGTGTTGCTCACTTCTAGAATTGCAAATAAAAGCCAATTAGATCTTTAAGTTTGTGCTTCTGTCTTTTGACAAAGGTTCACAACTTCTCCAGCCCTCCACGAAGAAGCTGGAAGGAGCAGGGTGCACAGGCTCTTTGAAGATGCTGAGTGAGGTCCCAGGGCACCCACAGGAGCTGCCACCTCAGCTCAGGGGACACAGCTACTCTGAGCCCCTTTGCTCATGGGGGAAAGGGCGGGGGAAGCATGCTATCCCGCCCCCGCTCCCTACCCCAAAAAAGCTGCTTTGTCTTCAGAGGACCAGGAGTCCTGATTGGGCAGCCTCTGCCGGGAATGAAATGCATGTCCTTCGCACTTCCACTACCGTTCTATTTTCAGGCTGATTTATAACTAAAACGTGAAATAAGTGCTAGGAAAGCATTTAGCATTGTCTGACACTGCCTCAGCACACTCAGTTTCCTCTCTCTTCTTCATCAGAATCTCTGCCCGGCCAGGCAGCAGGCGCTGACTCTCGCACTGTCCGGTTCGAAGAGCTGTTTTCTGCAGGTACTTGCAGTAGCAGCTGGCCTGGGACCCACCCCCGGGCAAAGTCCGCTCCGGAGTCTGTCACTTCCCGGCGCGGGCCACCCAGCCCCTGGCGCCCTGGCGCTCAGCGCTCCGCGGGCGCGCCCTCTGGCGGCAAGAGCCCTGAACATTTCGCAAGCGGCGAAGGCTGGCGCGTGTTATCCTGGGCACCCACCGGACCGAATCGCTGGGCAGGGCTGCAAGGTGACTTGCTAACGCAATCAGACCAGAAAGGAGCGCGCGTCTAACTAAGCGGGGGAGGGGAGAAGCATGTTCATATTTTGTAAAATGCAAGTGGCACCTCTCCCCATTTTCCTCAAAATTTTATTCTGAAAAACTTTAGTACTTAAAAGTTCAAATGCTTTTACAGTGGACACACATTTATCTATCAGCTAGATTCTGTTATTCACATTTTACTCTATTGGTTTCATTGCATATCTGTCCATCTATTCATCCCTCTTTCCATCCTTCAAACTATCTTATTTTTTCTTTTTCTTGTTCTCTTTTTAATTTTTTTTTTTTTTTTTGAGACGGAGTCTTGCTCTGTCGCCCAGGCTGGAATGCAGTGGCGTGATCTGGGCTCACTGCAAGCTCCGCCTCCTGGGTTCACGCCATTCTCCTGCCTCAGCCTCCCGAGTAGCTGGGACTACAGGCGCCCACCACCACGCCTGGCTAATTTTTTGTATTTTAGTAGAGACAGGGTTTCACCGTGTTAGCCAGGTTGGTCTCTATCTCCTGACCTCGTGATCCGCCCGCCTCGGCCTCCCAAAATGCTGGGATTACGGTTGTGAACCACCGTGCCTGGCCCCATCTTATTTTTCAGATGCATTTCAAAAAGTAAATTGCAGACATTAGAACACTTCCCCCTAAATATCAGCCTTCAGCTTTTAAAGAAACAAATTGAAGAGATTGCTAATATTTATTTTGTTATAGTAGAATTCTTTTTTCACATGGTGTTCTTAAAACCCTTTGAAGTAGGTTTTATTTTCTTTTTCTTTTACTAAAAAAAAATTTTTTTTTGAGACGGAGTCTCGCTCTGTTGCCCCAGGCTGGAGTGCAGTGGCGGGATCTCGGCTCACTGCAACCTCTACCTCCCGGGTTCAAACGATTCTCCTGCCTCAGCCTCCCTTGTAGCTGGGACCACAGGCGCGAACCACCACGCCCAGCTAATTTTTATAATAATTTTTTATTTTTAGTAAAGATGGGGTTTCACTATGTTGGCCAGGCTGGTCTCAAACTCGTGGCCTCAAGTGATTCACCCACCTTGGCCTCCAAAGTGCTGGGATTACAGGCGTGAGCCACAGTGCCCAGCAGCTTTGTCCATTTTCTTTTCTTTCTTTCTTTTTCTCCTTTTTTTTTTTTTTTGAGACAGGGTCTCACTCTGTTGCCCAGGCTGGAGTGCAGTGGCACAATCTCAGCTCATTGCAACCCCCGCTTCCCAGGTTCAAGCAATTCTCCTGCCTCAGCCTCCCAAGTAGCTGGGATTACAGACATGTGCAACCTTGCCCGGCTAATTTTTGTATTTTTAGTAGAGACGGAGTTTCACCATGTTGGCCAGGCTGGTCTTGAACTCCTGGCTTCGAGTGATCTACTCACCTAGGCCTCCCAAAGTGCTGGAATTACAGGTGTGAGCCACTGCGCTTGGCCTGCTTTGTCCATTTTCTAATGGAGCTATTCGTGTTTTTATTATTGAGTTGTTTCAGTGTGGGTATTAGTTAGGAGATAGGGGGTTGGCTGAATTAGTTCACCATCTGAGCTATCTGGAGATAGATGGGTCACAGAACACTGTCCCTCCTCTTAAAAAATCAGATTTTTAAGACATTATACAATCTCAGGTAGGTCAAAATTCAAGTAAGGCAAATTGGAGTAGGATGCTCCAAGCCTCACTAGCCCTGTGGAGAAAGGCTCTCTGGCTGTGTAATCTTGAGTAATATTTAACTTTTGTGAGTCTCAGTTTTTGGGCCATTTTATAGGTGCATGTGCTCTTTTTTTTTTTTTTTTTTTTTTTTTTTGGGACGGAGTCTCGCTCTGTCGCCCAGGCCGGACTGCGGACTGCAGTGGCACAATCTCGGCTCACTGCAAGCTCCGCTTCCCGGGTTCACGCCATTCTCCTGCCTCAGCCTCCCGAGTAGCTGGGACTACAGGCGCCCGCCACCGCGCCCGGCTAATTTTTTGTATTTTTAGTAGAGATGGGGTTTCACCTTGTTAGCCAGGATGGTCTCGATCTCCTGACCTCATGATCCACCCGCCTCGGACTCCCAAAGTGCTGGGATTACAGGCGTGAGCCACCGCGCCCGGCCGCATGTGCTCTTTATGTGAGTCTAAGATGGTAAGGGCAGCAACTCGCCCTTGCTGAGCACCTTCCTCGTGCCAGGGGCTGGAGCAGGTGCTGCATGGGGGAGGCATGCTATCCCACCCCCCTCCCCCAGAATCAACAGGAGCCATTGCTCTTCTTTTTCACATCTGGAGGCTCAGCTCCAGCTCTCAGGGATGGCAGACTCAGGTCTCATGAAGGAAATTCACACTTGCATCATCAGAGTAACCAAAACCACTTCAGATTCATGATGGATGAAGGGCAGGATGACACATCCAGCTCTGACTTGGTCATCAGATGCAACAGGGATACTTTAGGATGTTTCTGCAGCATCTGCTGTGACAGGAAACCTGGGAGGCAGAGTTTCCTGCTCCAGTATTTTGTCTCTCCATGAGGGATGGCGTGGAGGCAAAGATGGCAGCTCTTGAGGAAGGCACTGGCTCACAAGATGGTGGCTCTTGGGGAAGACACTGCCTCACTTACAAGATGGCAGCTCTTGGGGAAGACACTGGCTCACAAGATGTTGGCTCTTGGGGAAGACACTGGCTCACTTACAAGATGGCAGCTCTTGGGGAAGACACTGGCTCACAAGATGGTGGCTCTTGGGGAAGACACTGGCTCACTTACAGGATGGCAGCTCTTGGGGAAGACACTGGCTCACAAGATGTTGACTCTTGGGGAAGACACTGGCTCACAAGATGGTGGATCTTGGGGAAGACACTGGCCCACTTCTGCATCTAGCCTCTTGGAAGGAAGGGGCAGAAGAGGAGGTCTGGTGGATGTACACAGAGAGTGAACATACAGTGGCCCTGTGCACTAGCAAACACGACTCTGCCGGTGGCCTGGAACGGAATGGGACTCCATAAGACCCCCGTTTCCACTCTTAAGTGAGGAGTGTGTAGGGAAATGTACAGGTGTTTTCTCTGCTCCCTGCAGGCTGTTTCTACTGCCTCTTGTCAGCCCAGCCTGGGTTTAACTCAGCAGTTAGTTCATTCATCTGTTCATCCATTCTCAAACATTTATGGCACATTTCCTCTGTGTCAGTGTTGTTTCAGCCACTGGGGTTTCAAACCCTCGGTCAGTCCCAATATCCTCACCATCAAGGAACAGAGAAGACAGCATAAGGGAGGCAAAATTTTTTACCTATACCCTCTTATGGTGTTGTGGCTGGGCCTGAGGATTAAACTGACATAAGGCAGATTTACAGGAGAAAAGCAAACAAATTTACTTAATATAAATTTCATGTGACATGGGAGCTCTCATGAGAAAATGAATACCCAAATAAGTGACAAAACCTAAATGCTCTTATATTAAGTTGAACAAAGGCAGGCAATTGTGGAAAAGTAACTAAAGTATGTGAGGGGGCTGACTGGGTGTGGGGCTAACACCTGTAATCCCAGCACTTTGGGAGGCTGAGGCGGGCGGATCACCTGAAGACAGGAGTTCAAGACCAGCCTGGCCAACATGGTGAAACTCCGTGTCTACTATAAATACCAAAAATTAGTTGGGCATGGTGACGGGTGCCTGTAATCCCAGCTACTCAGTAGGCTGAGGCGGGAGAATTGCTTGAACCTAGGAGGCAGAGGTTTCAGTGAGCCGAGATTGTGCCACTGCACTCCAGCTTGGGTGACAGAGAAGAGAGAGACTCTGACTCAAAAAAAAAAAAAAAAAAAAGTATATGAGGAGGCTCAAGAAAGATACAAATTTTAACAAGACTTACTTTTATAGGATTCTCTTGGTCTCAACTTCCCATCTTTGATAATAAGAACAAACGTTCCTTCTGGCACAGGGAGGACCTCTTCTGTAAGGAGGTGTTATCTCCTTCTTTCAGGAAGAGAAAGGGAAGGGTCAGAATGCCCTTCTTTCATGTATTTTTTAAAGTGCCTATAGCTCAAAATAATCCTTACGCCAGAGCAGCATATGTTGATGTGGCATATTCTGCCAGCTTTCAATGTGCAAGCAGATATTTGTATATTTGAGTACTCTGTGAAGCTGGATTTTAAAAGCTGTCCCAGTATCTTCAATGTCTGGCCAGATATTAAAAGTCACTATGAGATGGGCTCTTTTGTTTCCTGAAGAGCCACTTGGGTAGCTCCTATCAATATGCAAGGGGAGGAACGGTAGATAATCCTTTCCTGGGAACAGAGGCTAACAGGATGCTTTATCTGGCTCTTCAAGGCTGCTTCTCCCCTCCAAGTGCAAGGGGATGTGGCTGGGGGAGGTGGCGGGAGTTGGAGAATGCATCGACTTGCATTAGAAGCCTAGAGGCCTTGTGGAAGGAAAAGGACTGATATTCCAACCCCTGTCTGGAATTAAAAGATCAGGAAACCTGTAGGAGTATAGAACACTTGGTCCTGAGCAAGGCCCTATGAGAGGAAAGGACGCCAAGGGCCTTGGAGTACAAACTCACTGTGAGGGAAGGTGAGATGGTGACCCTTGGATTTGTGAGAAGACACGGAGCCGGCTCTGAATGTGGCTGTGGTTGGGGATCCAGGCATGTCCTGTGCTTTAGGCAGAGTTTGTGCCTATGAACTAGGAAGAATAACTTGAAGTTCCAGTGTAGAACACTACTCTTGATTGTACAGATCTGGGCCAGCAAGGGTCTTAGCTGGAAGGAGGCAAGGGGGCTTTGGGCTACGCTGGGACAGTGTTCAGAGTGATGGTACAGAAGCCACTGTGTGAATTGGCCAATTGAACTCATTGGTTTGCCTCTCTTTTCTTCCTTTCCTTTCTTTTTCTTTCTCCTCCTTCTACTTTCCTCTCTCTTCATCTGGTATTGGAAGGTAGAATTTTTGCCAAAGGTGCCAAGAACACTCATTGGGGAAAGGACAGTCTGTTCAATAAATGGTGCTGGGAAAACTGGGTATCCATATACAGAACACTGGAACTAGATCTTGATCTCTCACTATTTACAAAAATCAAATCAGAATGGATTAAAGACTTAAATGTAAGACCTGAAACTATGAAACTATTAGGCAAAAACATTGGGGAAATGCTCCAGGACATTGGTCTGGGTAAAGATTTCTTGAGTAAGACCTCACAAACACAGGAAACCAAAGCAAAGATGGACAAATGGGATCACATCAAACATAAAAGCTTCTGCACAAACGCAAAGAAAACAATCAGGAAAGTGAAGAGACAACCTACAAAAATGGGAGAATATATTTTCAAATTGTTCATCTGACAACAAATTAATAATCAGAATATAAGGAACTCAAACGACTCATATATTATTTTATGTATTATTTATATATTAATTGCTGAATACAATTTCTCAAATCAGTGGCGTTTATAATGTATGTAGATGTACCATAATGACAATAGTGGTAGAAAGGACTAGGCGAGGTTAATGAAACGATAATGTCGCAAGTGACTCAAAAGCCAATAGAGGAGTTAAAATAGAATACTAAAAAAGTTTGATTAACCCAAAGGACAGTAGAAAAGAAGGAACAGAGGAACAAAAAAGAGATAGGACAAATAGAAAACAAATAATAAAATGATAGACCAACATATCAACATTTGCATTAAATGTAAAAGGACAAAACATAACAATTAAAAGACAGAGATTATCAGGCTGAATAAAAAAGCAATTCCCGTCTTTATGCTCTATAAAGTGTGCCTATAAGGACACCCTTCTAATGTAAAGACACAGATAGTTTAAAAGTAAAAGAATGGAAAAGTACATACCATGAAAATAGTAAGTATAAGAAAGCTGGTGTGATTATAACAATATTAGACAAAATAGACCTCAAGGCAAGGAGTATTATGAGATACAATACAGATTATTTTATAATAATAAAAGAACCAAATCAGCAGGAACATACACCCCTTCTATATGCATATGTGACCAATGACAGAACTTCCAAATGTATGAAACACAAACTGAGAAGATTAAAGGGACAACTAGGCAAGTCAACGATCCTGGTTGAATATTTTTAACATCCCTTTTTCAGTAATTAATAGAACAATTAGACAAAGGCATCAGTAAGAATATAGAATATGTAAATACTATCAGTTACCTGGACCTAATTGCCATTTATAGGAGATTATACCCAAGAACAGAATACACATTCTTTTCAAATGCACCTGGAATATTTACCAAGTTAGACCATATGCTGGGTGATAAAATAAGTCTTAATAAAATTCAAAAGATTAGGAAAAAAAAAAAGCTTAACAGTGCAGGTTGCTGGACTGATATTTAAACAGCTCCCTGGGTCATGATCCCAAAGCTAATGTGGGAGAGCTCTATGACTGGAAATGGACATTTACAAGTCAGCAGATGATTCCGGCAGCATTTTGCATAGGAGATGAATGGACATCTGGATTCACAGAAGCTGGATTTGAAATAAATTCTCTATGTCGTCCAGCCTGTCTGTCTCAGTCCCTGAGAATATTTCTGGTAATCTATTTATCACTGATTTGAGAACAAAAGGGGATTAAACTGGCCTGACCCTCGAATTTTCAGCTCCAGACTTTCTGGTTCTTCAGCACCTGGGAAGAATATTAACTACTCATAGTAGAATGAATCACGTTGAGATACAATATTAAATAATGTGTTTTATTAAAGGAGCACACTGGGTTGTAAAATGTGACACTGAGTATTTCTCTACAAGCAGACTTGAAATCTTGCGATTCTTTCTAAACATGTAAAGCCTGTGATGGGTGCTCCAGATGATAACTAGCTCTATATTTCCCAGAGTAGTACCTTTCCAACCCAATCCTTACCCATTTTTCTTATTTTTCTGTGCTTTAATATTATTCCCATAATATGATCATATTATCATCAGAGTGACTATGAATAATGCTTTGGCTGTTTTATAATGAAGCTTCTCAACATGATTGATGCTGTGGAAACTGATCATTAAGC
Organism: Homo sapiens; assembly: GCF_000001405.40. Taxonomy (NCBI): domain Eukaryota; kingdom Metazoa; phylum Chordata; class Mammalia; order Primates; family Hominidae; genus Homo; species Homo sapiens. The sequence goes on from NC_000015.10 coordinate 85,847,811, forward strand.
TTACTGGAAATGCATAGAAACAGCTCCTTAGAGTAACTGTAAAGAGGAATTTTATTCCAACACTTGAGCATCACATTCTGTCTTCTTTCTGCTCCAAGTCTCTCTTTCTCCATCTAATCCACTTACACCCCCACTGAATACAGACTCCTGAGTTATTGTGATAATATGGGAAAGTGATAGCATGGAAAAGTGAGAGTTCAAAGATAATTTCCCACCTGGGATCAGGCTGTCTACTACATGAAGAGTACAAAAAGGTGGGAAACAAAAGGGGAGTCTGGATGTCTAATAATTTTTTTTTTTTTTTTGCAAGAAGCTTTGAAATTTTGCCATGGTGGGTGCAGGATACCCAGAATGTCAGCTCAGCTGTTCAGACCTAGATCTCTTCTCTTAAAGATGCATTACCTGTAAAGTGACCCCATGGATGCCTTGTGTTTGATTCTTTATCATCCCGGGGCACTGGTGTCTGAGGGGTACCTGTCCCTTCCGTGCCCTTTCTAAGTCTTACTCACAGTCATTTGCAATAGCTGTCGTACATATCTTATCACCAGATCTATGAATGTTTCCACATAGGGACACCATTGATATTGTGGTGGCTAATGTATTATAAGGGTTATCTTAATTATTCTTTTTTCAGTCAGACACTTTAGTATTGCATAGACCCTATCATTATTGCCATATTAACACAGATCTTCAATAATAGGTCCCTATTGTTGGGCTCAGGGCCAGGTAATTTACTCAGGTTGATGAGGTGGCATTATTCTCATTTTACACATGAGCAAACAGAGATCTAGTGAATTTAAGTGATTTGCCAAAATGCACATAGTAAATTACCAGGTGATCCAGACCCCTGGCTCTTTCTAACACACCAAACTGCCTCAACATGGTAAAATGGGAGTTTGTAAGTTTGTTGATTATACAAGTCAGTTGATTTGACCTTCCATTAATTATAAGTCATTAACTCCCATCTGGCAATTCAAGCCACAAAATGTTCCAAGATAGGACAGGAATTTGTAGTGTCTTTAATTTCTGGTATTTGCACATTCGATCATTGTTGATGTGCTCAGTTTCGTTAATCCCTTTGTTACAAATACAGCACACCTTACTCAGCCCATGAACTCCTGCCACCCTGGACAACTATTTTGATTCACTGGGCCCACTAGGATGATCCAGAATGACCTTCCTTATCCCAGGATCCTTAATTTAATCACATCTACAAAAATCTTTTGCCATATAAGATAACACATGCACAGGTTTGGGATGTTAGGATGTGGATATGTTTGAGGGTCGTTATCCTGCCTACCAAAACTATTCTGCCATCATGGCCAAGCCAGAACTTTATTTTTCATCCTCCCTGCTTAGCACAAGGCTGAGCATGAAGTAGGTTCTTTTTTTTTTTTTTTTGAGACAGAGTCTTGCTCTGTCACCCAGGCTGGAGTACAATGGCACAATCTCAGCTCACTGCAACCTCTGTCTCTGGGTTCAAGCGATTCTCTTGCCTCATCCTCCCGAGCAGCTGGGATTTGGGGCACCTGCCACCATACTTGGCTAATTTTTGTATTTTTAGTAGAGATGGGGTTTCATCATGTTGGCCAGGCTAGTCTTGAACTCCTGACTTCAGGTGATCCACCTGCCTTGGCCTCCCAAAGTGCTGGAATTACAGGCGTGAGCCACCGCGCCCGGCTGAAGTAGGTTCTTAAGAGGGCTTGCTGAACTGAAGGGAATTCAGAGAGCTTGAACTTCCTTCTCCAAACCTTTGCTAGTAGCACCAGGTGGCGGTCCTTGGTGCTCACTGTAGGTCACAGCCGAGTCCCTCTGGCAGACTATGGAGTGGAGTGGAGTGGATGCCTCCAAGGAGTCCTTCCCCTGTTGGGGTGGTGGTGAGGGCAGTGTTGCAGACTGACCGACCTCCTCCATACTTTGTTTCTTTGCCAAGGGGTAACCATTTCCATTAAAATCTACCACATGCTTTCAGTGTATCAAATATATATTTGGTTTTGTGCTGTGCATGTCTTCAAAAATGGAGAGGAGATCCATGCTGAACAAACTCTGAACCAATCATACGGATTTGCATTCACGTGATGTGCAGCAAATAGAGTTCTAAGGAGTTCAGGCTGATTTACTGTAGCCCTAGAGAATAGACACATTCCAGAAATATCCCCTCTCCGCTAGCCTCCTCCCAGCTCTCTGAATTGCCTTAGCATCTATTCACAACACAGCGGGTGGTGTGGCAGGCTGATTTCCCTGAGGGCTGGGTGGGCAAGAGCAGGTGTTGGCCTGCACCCGGACAGAGGGTGAAGCCCTCCTGGGCCCCTCCTCTTCCCCCATCCCTGTCCCTGAACCGGTGTCCGGGGGACGCCCATCCCTTTGTTTAGGCAAGGCCTTTTTGGGTCTTATATTCTGGATTTTTGGGGACAAGGTCTCACTCCGTCGCCCAGGCTGGAGCACAGTGGCACAATCTCAGCTTACTGCATCTTCCACCTCCCAGATTCAAGCGATTCTCCTGCGTCAGCCCCTCGAGTAGCTGGAGTTACAGGCATGGGCCACCACAACCAGGTAACTTTTGTATTTTTAGTAGAGACGGGGTTTCTCCATGTTGGCCAGGCTGGTCTTGAACTCCTGACTCAAGTGATCTGCATTACAGACATGAGCCACCACTCCCTGCCCAGCCCAACCATCCTTGGTAAGTGCTGATGAAATGCTGAAATGGAAGCTACATTTAGTAATTTGGGGGTGATTGATTAATATTCATGGAAATGTTTGCATGCAATGCCAAATTAATGTATTTTAAAAGAGATTTATGTACAAAGTAAATATTTTGACAGAGACATGAAAATAACTGTGAAGGCCATTCCATCTGCTCCTTGTTTATTGCCTGAATATTTACATCACTGCATTGGAAACTCCACTGATTCAAGAATTAACGTACAGAAAAAGATTCTGTCTCTTTGTTCTGTGAGTCGGGGGTAAGGAGATGAAACACACAAGTGAGTGCACACAACCCCTAGAGATTTCCCCCCTTCCTTTTCTCCCCCAGGACTAATGTCACCCTCATTCCCCCAAGACAAGAAACTCTAAGAACGTGTTGCTGTTGTTACTGTCAGGTGCTGAGGTGGTTATGGTTGTATGGGGAAGGGAATGGCTGCTATTGAGAATCCTCAAATAGGGATAAGTATAGAGTAGGAAAGATACAACAGAGGGAAGGTCCTGTTTGTACTGAAGGAATTCTATTTTATTTATTTATTTATATCTTCTCATTTAGCTTTTTTATTTTGCATTTATTTATTTATTTATTTGAGATGGAGTCTCTCACTGTCACCCAGGCTGGAGTGCAATGGCATGATCTCGGCTCACTGTAAGCTCCGCCTCCCGGGTTCAAGTGATTCTTCTGCCTCAGCCTCCAGAGTAGCTGGGATCACAGGCACCCACCACCACGCCCGGCTAAGTTTTTGTATTTTTAGTAGAGACGGGGTTTCACTATGTTGGCCAGGCTGGTCTCGAACTCCTGACCTTGTGATCCACCTGCCTTGGCCTCCCAAAGTGATGGGATTACAGGCGTGAGCCACCGAGCCCAGCCATAGTCTGCATTTATTTATTTATTTATTTATTTATTTTTACTTTTATTTTAAGTTCAGAGGTACAAGTGCAGGTTCGTTGCATAGGTAAACTTATGTCATGGGGGTTTGTTGTACAGATTATTTCATCACCCAGATATTAAACCTAGTACCCATTAGTTATTTTTCCTGATCTTCTCCCTCCTCCCACCCTCCACCCTCTGAAAGGCCCCAGTGTGTGTTGTTCCCCTCTATGTGTCCATGTGTTTTCTTCATTTAGCTCCCATTTTATAAGTGAGAACATGCAGTGTTTGGTTTTCTGTTCCTGTGTTAGTTGGCTGAGGATAATGGCCTCCAGCTCCATCCAGGTCCCTGCAAAGGACATGATCTTGTTCTTTTTTTATGGCTACGTCGCATTCCATAGTGTATATGTACCACATTTTATTTATTTTTATAATAGAATTATTTATATTCTTTTGGGTATATACCCAGTAATGGGATTTCTGGGTCCAGTGGTATTTCTGTCTTTAGGTCTTTGAGGAGCCGTCACACTGTCTTCCACAATGGCTGAACAAATTTACACTCCCACCAACAATGGATAAGCATTCCTTTTTCTCCACAATCTCACCAGCACCTGTTATTTTTTGACTTTTTAATAATACCCATTCTGACTGGTGTGAGATGGCATCTCATTGTGGTTTTGATTTGCATTTCTTTAATGATCAGTGATGTTGAGCTTTTTTTCCTATGATTATTGGCCACATGTATGTCTTCTTTTGAAAGAAGGTGCACAGTTTTATTTCTGGGTTCTCTATTCTGTTCCACTGAATATGTGTTATGTGTCTGTTTTTGTACCTGTACTCAAGGAATTTTATATCTGTAGTGGCCTGAAAGAAAACCCACAGGACTTTTTTGGAATGTCAATGCAATATACATAGGAGAGGGTGGGTAGTCAGAGAAGGCTTCCAGCAGGCTTCCTGCAACAGGGTGGTTTTGAGGCCAACTTGGGAATGCCAACAAGAGTGAAGAGTCTGGCTTAATAGTTCCAAGCACAACGAATTAGGGGAGGCTGCCCCCACCCTCATACTCTGCTAGTTCTCACCTGATTCCTGTGCTTGGTCTCCCCACCAGCTCTCACTGTCAGATCTCAGCTCAAACACGACCTCCTCTCTGAAGCCTCCTGACGTCTTTGGGCCAACTGACAGGTCCCTTCTCTGCATTGTACATACAGGTCTGCAAACACTTATCTGTAATTCTGAACTCCAAAAAGTTGTGAAAACTGAAAGTTTTTTCTTTTTGGTGCTAAAACTCATTTGGTGGCAAATCCTGCCTGAGCCAGCATGAGGCTGTTGCCTGTCTTTATTTCACTTTACTGCTGGTACATTTTGCTGCAGAAATATGGATGTGATAGATTATGGGTGACATCCTAGATAGTTCCTAAAATCCGACAAATTCAGAATCCCCAAACTCATCTGGCCCGAGTGTTTCGATGAAGGGCTTGTGGGCCTGTGCCTCCCTTGAAACAATTGCTGGGAAGATTTCTGTATTTGGTTGACTAGTTTGTCTCCCAAGGAGTCTCTGATTGTAAGAAAGGAGTTTGCATTCTCATTTTTATGTACCACAAGCCCCAAAGTGTGGTCATGCCCCTAAGTGTGATAAATCTTGGTTGACAGATTATAATTGGAAATATTCACCAAGGGTCTCCCTCTTTCACTGGCACCACCTGGCAGCCATTGTTCAAGAAGGTTGGCAGGGCAGAGCAGCAGGGGGTGGCTTTGGCCTGCAGACACTCCAGGGCTCGACCAGGTGGACCTAGCAGCGCTCTTCCCCAGGGTCATGGCTTGAAATGAGTAGGGAGGGGGCCTTGTTAGTGGATGGAGTGTGGATTGATAACACTCTGAGGATAAGATGCTCCCGACCCACCCTGCCCAGACTCAACACCCTCTATGTCCTCTGGAACTTGGATAAAGTGAGGGTGGGAGACCCTGCATTTATTGATATTAGCTTCTGCTACCCAGTGCAATGGGTAAGCTCTGTATAGAAAATAAAGAAAATTGGGCCGGGCGCGGTAGCTCACGCCTGTAATCCCAGCACTTTGGAAGGCTGAGGTGAGTGGATCACCTGAGGTCAGGAGTGCCAGACCAGCCTGGCCAACATAGTGAAACCCCATCTCTACTAAAAATAAAAAATTAGTTGGGCGTGATGGCGGGCACCTGTAATCCCACCTACTTGGGAGGCTGAGGCAGGAGAATCATTTGAACCTGGGAGGCGGAGGTTGCAGTGAGCCAAGACTGCACCATTGCACTCCAGCCTGGGCAACAAGAGCGATACTCCATCTCAAAAAAAAAGAAAAAAAAAAAAAAAGAAAAAAAGAAAATAAAGAAAATTGACTTGTTGCACACTCAAATGTGTGAGCTAGAAGCCATAGAAGCCACACAGGCCAGACAAATGAATAAAATGATAAAGGAGGACTTCATTTATTTTTAATCCTCAGGAATCTTACTCTCCCATGGATCAGGTGTTGGTTTGTCTTTGTTGTTATATGTGACAATCAAGGGACCTAGCCATTCCGGCGTTTTTTTGAAGTAAGCATGAGGTGGCTGGGCGCGGTGGCTCACGCCTGTAATCCCAGCACTTTGGGAGGCCGAAGCGGCCGGATCACGAGGTCAGGAGATCGAGACCATCCTGGCTAACACGGTGAAACCCCGTCTCTATTAAAAATACAAAAAATTAGCTGGGCGTGATGGCGGGCGCCTGTAGTCCCAGCTACTCGGGAAGCTGAGGCAGGAGAATGGCTTGAACCCGGGAGGCGGAGCTTGCAGTGAGCCGAGATCGCGCCACTACACTCCAGCCTGGGCGACAGAGCCCCCCGCCAAAAAAAAAAAAAAAAAAAAAAAAAAAGAAGTAAGCATGAGGTAGTGAAGCCAAGCGTCCCGAACGTGAGATGGGCTGCCAGTGCCCTATGTGATCTATTTTTGCGGGTGGGAAGGAACCAGCCTGGAGGAAGTTGGTTGAAGTAGATTCTGGTGGGCAGATCCCTAGAACATTGAAAGAGAGCTCCAGATAGCTACCAAAAACAAAACAAAAAAGCAAAACGAACAAAAAACCTAACCATTGTCTCCCATCCGAAGTCTTGGGATTTGGAGGATGCAGGATAATCAATGTTCCACTAGGTGGCACTGATGATCCACATTTGGGGTACCCGGAGTCTGTCTCTACGGCAACAAGTTGACAAATTTATGGGCAGAATTGGCCTTGTCCTCTGGGGTGTGTGTGTGTGTGTTTGTGTGTATGAAGGAGTTTTTGAGTGTTCAGAAAAGTCTGCTCTGTGCAGAAGGGACCATTGATATGCAACTGTCAAAGAGATAGAGAGAAAATCAAGGAAATATTATCATACTGAGCACGGCAATAAGGAACGAGAGAGGAGAAATCACTCCTCCCAATGCAGTAACAAACCACCTTGCCGCTTGGACTCTAATGTTCTCTAATGCATGAGGTTAGGAAGCAGGGCTCCGAGGCAAGCAGGGATCCTGGGGCTGGGCTGCAGGCTGGATTTGCTTTTGTGCAGGATATTACTGCAGGAGCTCAGCCTGCAGGGAGCTGGGGTTGCTTGAACTATGGATGTTCTAGGGATGTGATGATGGAAAATATTACAAATGCCCATACATCTAGTTCTTTTTTTTTTTTTTGAGATGGAGTTTCGCTCTTTTTGCCCAGGCTGGAGTGCAGTGGCGCGATCTCGGCTCACCGCAACCTCCGCCTCCCGAGTTTGAGCGATTCTTCTGCCTTAACTCGGATTACAGGCATGCAACACCACACCTGGCTAATTTTTTGTATTTAATAGAGATGGGGTTTCACCATGTTGGTGAGGCTGGTCTCGAACTCCTGACCTCAGGTAATCTGCCCGCCTCGGCCTCCCGAAGTGTTGGGATTACAGCATGAGCCATCGTGCCTGGCCAAGATTTTATTTTATTTATTTATTTTTGAGACAGAGTTTCGCTGTTGTCACCCAGGCTGGAGTGCAATGGGATGATCTTGACTCACTACAACCTCTGCCTCCCAGGTTCAAGCAATTCTCCTGCCTTAGCCTCCCCAGTAGCTGGGACTACAGGCATGCGCCACCATGCCCAGCTAATTTTTGCATTTTTAGTAGAGATGGAGTTTCACCATGTTGGCCAGGCTGGTCTCGAACTCCTGACTTCAGGTGATCCACCCGCCTCAGTCTCCCAAAGTGCCGGGATTACAGGTGTGAGCCACTGTGCCCGGCCGATTTTATTATTTTAAAGTGATGAGATAATTGAAAATAAAAACATTTCTCCAGAAACAAGATTATTGAAATACAAAATTTTCCCAACAATTGTTGAAACCTGGCATCTCTAAAATTATATATAATGCTTGATATGGTTTAGATCTGTGTCCCTGCTGAAATCTCATGTCGGATAGTAATCCTCAGTGTTGGAGGTGGGGCCTGGTGGGAGGTGATTGGATCATGGGGGCAGATTTCTCATGAATGGTTTAGCATCATTCTTCAGATGCTGTTGTCATGATAATGAGTGAATTCTCACGAGATCTGGTCATTTAAAAGTATGTAGCACCTCCCTCTTTCCTCTCTTGCTTCTGCTCCTACCATGTGAGACAACTCACGCTCTCTCCTCCTTTGCCTTCCGCCATGATTGAAGTAAAAAAAAAAAAAAAAAGAAAAGATGATGTGGTTCCTAGGAGATAGTTAAGTCTTAGCAGGGAACCAAAGATACTTTCAGTTCTAAATCCAATGTGTGCTGCTGACTCTTACCCTTCCTGTTATTCAGAAGAGAGAAGGAGGGAGAGTGCAAAGAAGTTCCGCTGTTGATACCCGAGCATGACATAGCAGCTAGTGTTTTGCTGAATTGTGATGAAGGAATGTTGACAACCTTTTCAAAACTTACAAGGAAAGGGACTCTGTTGGAGGAACTCAAAGAAAAAAGTATCCATTGAAAGGATAAGTTAGTATTTATATTTTAGTGCAATTGTGTGGAATTGGTTTGGAAATTTACACACTGTCACTGAGGTGACAAAAAGAAATGTCTTAATTTTCTGTAATTGTTTTATTTCTCACAGTCTTCTACTTGCTCAGTAGACCGAAGTTAGGTTGGAATGGAGAGGACATTGTTTAACCATTAACAATGTCTTTGTCTCCTTCAGTCTATATAGTGTATTTTCCATATTTAGATATCCTTTAAATAAATGCTAATTTTCACATTTAAAAAAAAAAAAAAAAGAAAGAAAGTTTTCTGAGGCTTCCCCAGAAGCAGAAGCTGCTATGCTTCCTGTACAGCCTGCAGCACTGTGAGCCAATTTAACCTCTTTTCTTTATAAATTACCCAGTCTCAGGTATTTCTTTATACCACTGTGAGAACGGACTAATACAATGTTGATGGTGTAATTTTTTTTCAAATTCTTGATTCTGAAAAATTAAGAAAAATAGAAACAAATAATTTTGGCAAATTGCATGAATCTATCCTGGGTCTTGCCTTTTTTACCCTTATACCTTACATTTCTTCCAGTTAGGAAGCTGGGAACCAAGAAAGACACCATCAACCCCACATGTAAGTGGCTATAAAAGAAGTCATGAATGGCAGATGGACATGGGCACTTGTAATAATACATGATGTAAAAAATTCAAATTATGTTACTGCAGAACAGTTCACACATCAGTGAATAAATGAAATATTAACAAGTAGACATTTTGACTATTCTTTCCACATCCCTAGAAAGTTTGCATATTCAAATTAACCCCCAAACTTTAAAAAAAATTTAACTTATTGTCATTAGGAAAGGGAGAGATCATTTTATATTTATTTGGTTGTCAGGGAAGGCTTCTCTCCTTCCTTGTTCTAAGGTAAGAATTTAACTGTTTCTTTAGCCACTTAACTTCTGACACAGCAGAGGCAGCACACAGAAATAAATGTAGAAGTCTAGGCATGGTGGCTCACGCCTGTAATCCCAGAACTTTGGGAGGCTGAGGCAGGTGGATCGCGTGAGGTCAGGAGTTTGAGACCAGCTTGGCCAACGTGGTGAAACCCCATCTCTACTAAAAATACAAAATTTAGCTGGGTGTGGCAGTGGGCACCTGTAATCCCAGCTGTTTGGAAGGCTGAGGCAGGAGAATCGCTTGAAACTGGGAGGTGGAGTTTGCAGTGAGCCAAGATCGCGCCACTGCACTGCAGCCTGTGTGACAAAAGTGAAACTCCACCTCAAAAAAACAAACAAACAAGCAAAAAAAAGGAGATAAATGTAGAGACAGGGCAGAGGGTTGGGAGCTGTTTTGCACTGGGACTTCCCTGTACATCTTGGGTCTGCAATTTTTAGGATGCCCTGAGTTCATCTGCATCAAGGTAATTTGACTCTAGATTACTACACACTCAAACCTCAGGCATATTTAAGCCATGCTTGTTTTCTCATTAGAATTCTGATAGTTAAAATTTATTTTCCCCATTAAGATTCATTCCTGAATGTTAGTTCTGACAGTTCCCACTCTACCCTGGGAAGAACTAGAGCCACTGCTTGGGTTTGCCACTAATTAAATTAGTGATCCTGAATATGTTAATTGGCCTGATTTGATCATTCCACAATGTATACATATTTCAAAACATCACAATGTACTCCATACATATATGTTATTATTTGTTAATGAAGTGAAAATGAAGAAAATAAACTAGTGGCCATTTTATCTTTCTTTTATCTTTCTTCTTCTTCTTCTTTTTTTTTTTAGAGAGTCTCCCTCTGTCACCCAGGCTGGAGTGCAGTGGCATGACCTTGGCTCACTGCAACCTCTGCCTCCTGGGTTCAAGTGATTCTCATGTCTCAGCCTCCTGAGTAGCTGGGGTTACAGGTGTGCACCACCACACCCAGCTATTTTTTGGTATTTTTAGTAGAGTCAGGGTTTCTCCATGTTGGCTAGGATGGTCTCAAACTCCTGATCTCAGGGGATTCGCCTGCCTCGGACTCCCAAAGTGAGAAACCACACCTGGCCCAGGGAAACAGTATTTCTCTTCTCTTCTCTTTTCTCTTTCTTTTTTTTCTAAAATGCTGGGATTACAGGCGTGAGCCACCGCTCCTGGTCGGGAACCAGTATTTCTGATGATCATTTTTTCTCATTTGAAAGACTGAAGTTAGTAACAGTAGCCCTCTCGTTTCAGGAGAGTGAATTGATACACTTGCCCTCTGTCTGCTGAACCTGTGGGTCACACCCTGGGCTGCTGTCCTGCTTCCCCTTCCTGCAGGCTGTGCTCACAGCAGGTGGATAAAGAGCTTGCATTACTTACCGACAGCTCTTACCCAGGGAGCTCCCAGCAGTGGTGTGTGTGTGTGTGTGTGTGTGCATGTGTGTGTGTGAGTGTGCGTGTGTCTGCGCGCGCGTGCACACGTCCCTCGTGGCCGAGTCCTTTCCTCCGAACCCAGCAGAAGATCTGAACAGGTCTGAACCCCCAGGTCTCACCTCAAGGTGAGACAGGCTCATGTCTTTTTCCACAGAGCATCCGGACTCTGAGCACACCACGGTCGGCGGCGCCCGGGGTTTAAGTCTCCAGTGTTCAGTGACATTCTCAGCTGACCTCTAGGGGGCAGCATTGCCCAACTCCTCCTGCGGCCTCCTCGGGTGTGGCCCAAACCCTTAGTGCCATTCTGCAGGGCATGGTGAGCCTTCAACCAATTGCAGCTGCCACAATGGCTATGATTCCTATTTTCCTTCTTTGCCCTGTGTTGCAGCCACATGTCAGAAACGCCTGAGCCAAGGGTTTTTTTCCTTATAGAACTTCTTAGCACTTCACATCTGAAAATCTTGCTTGACATTTGGCTTATCCTGACTTTTATTGCAGTTTTTGTTTATACTATAATTAATGTCTATATTTAGTTTTAAATTCCTGGAGAGAAGGAATGTGTTTTTATTTTTTATTTTTCTTTGACTCATGATCATCTCTGCTAGCTACCCTTGCACCCCCAAACAGCAGTTAACTTAGAATTAGATCTAAGGGTCTCAGTGTGTGTTGGCGGATGATAGTGTGATGGGTGCAGGGGGTAGGGATGTAGAAACCATAAGTGAGACTCAGAGCCACTCTGTGCCTAGGAATTTCAGGGTATAGCCATATACCATCTCTAAACTCACTGCAGGACTATATTCCCAAAGGCCCTGTCGTTCTGATCCACTCCCCAACCCGATTCCTCATCCTGCTGTTTCCTTATCAAATGGAGACGTACTAACATTAATATTTACCTCATTGCCCACAACATTTGAAGAGTACATACTTTCCCCATAACCTCCTTAGGGGCTGAAGGATGAAAAGAATAGTCAAACACAGCAGCTAGGAATTTAAGGCCCAAGAGGGATCTGATGTCCTTTTCTAAAGCCTCTTGCCTCAGGGATGACCAGGTTGATGGGGCTCACTGGCTATGAACACAGTGCGGCTCTAGGAGAAGCCTGCTGGGAACTTCTCTGCATCACTAATGGTGCCTGTCTCCCTAAGGGACCTGCGGGGCAGTGGCTGATGAAGACAGGAGTGAGGATGCTGGGGGCAGCATGTTGCCCTTTGACCTCTGAACTTTTGATCGTGGTTCTTTGGCCTTACATTTGTGCACCCACTTGTGATTTTCAAACATTGTCAGGTCTCTGTTTGTATTAGGTGTTACAGGGCCTGTTGCAGCAGCCAGTACATTTGATACAGGGATTTGCCTAGAGTCACAGAGCTTACTAATGGAGGAATCAGTACTAGACTGTGAGTCTCTGGACATCTTCTTCTGTGCCGTTTCCTTAAATTTTTTTATTTTTATTTTTTTTGAGACAGGGTCTCACTCTGTGGCCCAGGCTGAAGTGCAGTGGTACAATCATGGCTCACTATAGCCTCAAACTCTTGGGCATAAGCAATCCTCCCACCTCAGCCTCCTGAGTAGCTGGGAATACAGGCACTTGCCACCACATCCAGCTAATTTTTTAAAACTTTTTTTGCTTTTTTTTTTTTTGGTAGAGATGAGGTCTTGCTATGTTTCCCAGGCTGATCTTGAACTCCTGGCCTCAAGTAATCCTCCTGCCTTGGCCTCCCAAAGTGCTGGGATTACGGGCGTGAGCCACCATGCCCAACCATATGCTGTTTCTTGTAAGTTTCACTGCCTACTCAGAAATGTCACCTCTCTGCAGGGAAGGAGGCAGAGTGAGTGGGGTGCCTTGGGAACGCTGGCAGCGCCTTGCCTTTTTCCTGCATTCCTGTCACTCACGGGAGTGGCTGGTCACGTCATCATTTCATGCCTTCTGAGTTGGATTTAATTACTCAAAGTGTAGCCCCTGGACGGCAACTGTGGCGTCACCTGGAGTGTTAGAAATGTAGATTCATGGTCCCACCCCAGGTCTGCATCAGGCTCCGTGGCTCTTTGCATTCACAGTGTCAGATCTTTTCAGGGTATTGTCATGCCGTCGTAAGACCTGTGTGGTCAGAGCTGCCCCTGTTGAGTGAATCGTCATCAAGGTGTGCATGTCAGGGGGCTGAGGGGCTCTCGCGTCCCAGGATTGGATGATATATTCAGGGACCCCAGGTGGGCAGCCCTGTGCGCTGAGTTCAGGGGTCAGATTGGCTGCCGGATGACTCTCACAAGGGCCTCTTTAAGACTCATGGGGCAGACTTCAGGTCAGGTGGGCACTGAAACCCCATGGAGTCCACAGCCCTGAGGGCCCTGTGTCTACGGCCTCTCCCTCACTCACAGGCCACCTTCAACCTTTTGTTCTTCTGCTGACCTTGTGTTCTAGGTGGACAGTTTTTGCACAGTGCTGGGCCATGCCAGACACTGCTGAAAGTCTAAGCATTTTCCCCAATATGAACAGAAAGAAGCTCACTTTATTAACAACATAAATCTAAGAGTAGTTTCATCTTCAAACTTAACTCCCAACCACCAAAGTCCTGGCTGTTTATAAAATGTTCTCCAGATGTGCCAGGAGATCCGCAACCATTGGCGGGGGACATCCTCCTGTGAGCACGTGAAGCCCATCAGTGGAAAGCATCATGTTAGCCGAAGTGGTGTCAGCTTGAACCTAGCCAATTCAGCTGAAGGCAACATCCATACCAAAGGATGGCAAGTGAAAGATTTGTTCAAGGCCGGGCACAGTGGCTCACGCCTGTAATTCCAGCAATTTGGGAGGCTGAGGCGGGAGGATCACCTGAGGCCAAGAGTTAAAGACCAGCCTGGCCAGCATGGTGAAACCCTGTCTCTACTAAAAATACAAAAATTAGCCAGGCATGGTGGCGGGTACCAGTAATCCCAGCTACTCAGGAGGCTGAGGAAGGAGAATGGCTTGAACCAGGGAGGTGGAGGTTGCGGTGAGCCAAGATTGCGCCACTGCACTCTAGCCTGGGTGACAGAGCAAGACTCCATCTCAAAAAAAAAAAAAAAAAAAAAGAGAAAAGATAGTTCATTCATCCAGCTTATTCAAGACTGCTATGCTGGGCAAGGACAGGAGGAGGCTGGGGTTCAAAATCCTCTCTGGAGGCAGAAGAGTTGAGCTTGACCACAAGCAGCAGGCTTCTCTCTTTGTTGGCCACCCCCTGACTGTGGCTCAGCTAAGAGAAACATGTTCTCACCCCAGTCTGGACAATCAGGAGAAATTCGAAAATACTGATGCTCAGCCCCCACACTGATTCCGTGTGCCTGGGTTGAGCCCAGGTGGAGCTGAGATGCACCCCCAGTGGAGAAACTTTATGGTAGGTCACTGACTGATGATTGAAATTGAGCAGGCGTCCTTGAAAAATATGCTGAGTTCTGGGCCTCATCAGAGAAGATGCTGATTGAGTAGATTAAGGGTCAGGCCAGGGACCTGAATTTTAAAAACCCATCTCAGGTGTTTCTGACAATCGTTCTGGGCTGGGAACTGCTGGTCTAGATGACGTTTGCACTATTTAGCTAATGCTCACATTTTCCAAAGAGTATGTTTAATATTAAACCAGTGGTTTTCATTCTGGCTGCATATTATGATCACCGGGGGAGCTTTAATAAAAAATACTGTTACCTGGGTCCCACCGCAGTCCAATTAAATCAGAGTCTTGAGGGCGGGGGTGCTCCAGCACAAATAGTTTTAAAAGCTCCCCAGTTGAATCTAATGTGCAATTAGGGTTGAGAACCTTTATATTAAACCTTGAAAGAACACACAGAATTTACACCTGAACTACATTTGGAGTTTGCTTTTGATTATTGTCCGCTTTTAGTTTTTTTCACAGACCTAATTTGTTATTAAGAATGTAAATTAATTATTATGGCCTGATTGGTGTAAATCACATCGGATTCGTGACTTGCTTTGATCTGAATGCTAGACTTCCATAAATACGGTTGAAGACAGCTCTAGACTTTTGTCTCCCTCTGGCTTTTTGATAGCTGTATCAATCTGTTGGCTCACTGGGCTTGTGAAATAACTAAACCTTCAGGTCTCTTTCCCATGCGCTGCCATCGATGTGGTCTGCTGTGTCAGGGATTTTTGCTAGTGATCCTTTTGCTTACTGTGGTCAGGAATGGAATGGACCTTGGTCCTGGAGAGGTGATGGGGTGACCGTTTAGGGTAGGTGAGTAACAAAAGGGCGCCCCTTCCACTGGGCTAAGCAGCACATGCTTTGCTGGCAGAGAACGGCTGGATTTCAGACCTGCTTACTCCGTCGACCACGCACTTCTGTGTTGGGTGTGAATGGCACAAGCCCATGCGGCAGGAGTGAGGAGGGGGCCCCACTTGAACCACACGGACAGGGATGGTGGAGAGTGGCTCCCCAAAGGGAGATTGAGGTGTTATTCCCAGAGATGGGGAAATGGATATCGTGTAGGCCAAACCAGCCCTGCCCTTAGACTTGGGCAAGACAGGCTCCTTCTCAGGTGCTTCTTCAGGGTATTGTCATTCCATCATAAGACCTGTGTCCAGTGTCTTATTCCATCATAAGACCTGTGTCTTCACATGCAGACGTGTGTTTATTGCAGCATGATTTACAATAGCAAGGACTTGGAACCAACCCAAATGCCCATCAATGATAGACTGGATAAAGAAAATGTGGCACATATACACCATGGAATACCATGCAGCCATAAAGAAGGATGAGTTCATGTCCTTTGCAGAGAAATGGATGTAGCTGGAAGCCATCATTCTCAGCAAACTAAAACAGGAACAGAAAACCAAACACCGCATGTTCTCACTCATAAGTGGGAGTTGAACAATGAGAACACATGGACATAGGGAGGGGAACATCACACTCTGGGGCCTGTCAGGGAGTTGGAAGTAAGGAGAGGGAGAGCATTAGGACAAATACCTAATGCATACGGGGCTTAAAACCTAGATGACGGGTGATAGGTACAGCAAACAACCATGGCACATGTATACCTATGTAACAAACCTGCACATTCTGCACATGTATCCCAGAACTTAAAGTAAAATTAAAAAAAAAAAAAAAGGCCTGTGTCTTTTTCAGTCAAACGTCTCTGCACAGGGTGGGGCCAAGCAACTGTGCCCATCCAAGCCTGAGCCGCACCACTCAGTGCCTGAAATCCCAGCCTAAGCCCACGTGGGTCTTTTCCCTGCACTACTGTGAGAACTTTGCTTTATCTCATGTCTAAGATAAACACCCAGGACATGTCTTGTAGAGATATACTCAGTCTCAGAAATGCTTGTGCCTACTCAAAGGGGGTGTGTTGGAAGGAGCCCTGGGAAGTGTCAGGCAGAGGTCTGATTGATTGTTGACTACCTACCCCATGCTTACCATATGTTTATGCCATTTTAGTCCTTAAAACAATGGTTCTCAAAGCATGGTAACCAGACCTGCAGCATCAGCGCTGCCTGGGAACTTATTAGAAATGCAGAGGTGGGAGGATCACTTGGGGTCAGGAGTTCAAGACCAGCCTGGCCAACATGGCAAAACCCCATCTCTGCTAAGAATACAAAAATTAGCTGGGCATGGTGGCATGTGCCGGTAGTCCTAGCTACTTGGGAGGCTGAGGCAGGAGAATTGCTTGAACACGGGAGGCAGAGGTTGCAGTGAGCCGAGATCTTGCCATTGCACTCCAGCCTGGGCAACACAGCCAGACTCTGTCTCAAAAAAAAAAAGAAATGCAGATGCTTGGGACCACCTGGGACCTGCTGAATCAGAGACTCTGGGGGAGGAGTCGGGGTAGAAATCTATGTTTTAACCCTTTAGATTATTCTGGGGCTTGCTCAAGTTTAAAACTGCTGCCTTAAAACATCCTCAGTCCTTAACATAATCCCCTATGTGTTATCACCACCATTCAGATAACAATCCCCAGGAGATGTCTAAGCTGCCCCAAGCAGAAAGTGGCACCTCAGTGCTGAAATGCAAACCCAAGTCCACCTAGCCTGAAAGTCCTCAGAGCTTCTTACCACATCCACCCTGCCTGCAAAGAAAATCTAGAAGCTAGTTTTTTTTCTGGCTCCTCCTCCCGCTCTCCTTCTAAGGTAGTCCACTCCCTCCTCTTTCTCACTGTCTCTGATCGTGACCCTCCCACACCTGCTTTCAAAGCTTTGTCTGTGAACCAATTAGAGGTTTGAAAAGCTGGTATCAGAAGTGCCCAGTATCATTTTTATGAGACTTCATGAATAAGAAAACAATGCCAACAAGTCAATATTGCGTGCAAATGTCAGTAAATTCCCACTCAATGGCTCCCTAGCCTGAATTTTGCAGAGTGAAATCGATGCAAGTTTTGTCAGGCCTGCTGACTTTAAAGGCGGAGGACCCTGTGCATCCAGAGAACCCACTGAAGGATGTAGGCTGCATCGTCACTCACTCTGGAAGGAAGTTAACAAAAGTACTTACACCTTTAACCTCCAGGGCATTCCTTCCCAGGCTGTGGAGGGGGGCTCCTTAGCCTGCAGTGACCTGGAATATGTTTCCAACTTTGCAGAAGTGCTGAGATCCACAAGATGGCAGCAGCCGCTCAAGCTTCGCACAGGGTCCCTGCTGCTTTTGTAATTCCCAAATTAAAAACCAAACCAAACCAAACCAAACGTACATCTGCAATCTGGAAGACGCCAGGAAAGATCATTCATTCTAGGCCTGCCCCCTTTACATCCAGAACTGTCCACATCAGAATCAATGTGAGCAAACTGCTTATAAAGGTCTTAGGGAAAAGGAATCTCAATTGTTGACTCAATTGATTCATTTATTTATTTACTTCTTTTTCCATCCTCCCAACTTTTCACTCTGAAAAGTTTCAAACCTATAGAAAAGCTGGAAGATGAACATCTTCTTGGTCTTCACTGGGATTCATCAAATTATCACATTTAGCCACATTTATTTCATCTTTCTCTCTCTTCCTCTGGATGAAAGCTTTGATAGTTGCAGACACCCTGACACTTTACCTCTCAATAATTCAACACGTCTTCTAAGAATAAAGACATTTCTTTATATAACCACAACATCACCATATCCAAGAACCTTAACATTGATACATTACTTAATTTATAATCACATTTAAATTGCCCCAACGGTCCCAGCAATGTTCTTTACAATAATTTTCTTTCTTTCCCTTCCTTCCTTCCTTCATTCCTTCCTTCCTTCCTTCCTTCCTTCCTTCCTTTCTTTCTCTCTGTCTTTCTTTCCTTCCTTCTTTGAGATGGAGTCTCACTCTGTGGCAGAGGCTGGAGTGCAGTGGTGTGATCTCAGCTCACTGCAGCCTCTACCTCCCAAGTAGCAGGGATTACAGGCGTGTGCCACCACACCTGGCTAATTTTTTTGTATTTGTAGTACAGATGGGGTTTCACCATGTCAGCTAGGCTGTTCTTGAACTCCTGACCTCCAATGATCCGACTGCCGCGGCCTCCCAAAGTGCTGGGATTACAGGTGTGAGCCACCTCGCCTGGCCTATAGTAATTTTCAATCCCCTGCTACAGAGTCCATTTGAGTATCACACCCTCATGTAGTTGTCATGTCACCTTTTTTGTAGAGCTCTCCTCCTCCGCTTTTGATCTTTTATGACATTGACATTTCTCAACAGTCCGGTTCATGTGTTTTGTAGAATGCCCAGCACTCTGGATTTGTCTTACTGATTCTGGATTATTAATCCAGGTTAAGTATCTTGGCAAGAATACTACCAGGGCAATCTGGCATCCTTCCTGTTACATCACTTCAGGCGGCACATGATGTCATGTGGTCCCATTACTGACGATGCTAAATTTGAACACCTAGCTAAGGTATCAGACCTCGGGCAGAGAACTCATTCTTGTCCTGCGCCTGCAGCAATCCTGAACGGCCACCCCACCTCCTCCCTTGACTCGCTGGTCTGTACGCTCCCTGCAGCAGCCAGAGAGATGCTCTGAAAGTGTTAGTCAGATGAGGCCATGCCTTTGCTCAAAACCTTCCTATGGCTTCCCACCATGCCCAGAATAGCTTCCAAACTCCTTGCCATGCCTTCACAGCCCTGCATGGTCTGGCTGCTGTCTAACTTCTTTTTCAACATTAAAATTAAAAAAAATTTAAAATAAAAAAATTTTAAATTGGCATAATAATTGTACATAATTATGAGGTTGATAGTGAAGCTGCAATACACATAATATATAGTGATCAGGGTAGTTAGCACACTCACCATCTCAAACACTTATCACTTCTTTGTGTTGGGAACGTACAACATCCTCCTTCTAGTTACCCGAAACTATTAATATCTAGTATCTTATTGTTAATTATGGTCATCCTACAGTGCTATAGAACACTGCAACTTATTCTCCTCATCTAGGTGTGATTTTGTATCCTGTAACAAATCTCTCCCTATTCCTCCCTGCCCTCTATACTTCCCAGCCTTTAGCATCTTCTGTTTTACTTTTTACTTCTATGAGAGCAACTGTTTTTAGCTTCCATATGAATGAGAACATGTGGTGTTTAACTTCCTGTTCCTGGCTTATTTTATTTAACATAATGTCCTCCAGTTCCATCCATGTTGCTGCGAAAACAGGATTTCATTCTTTTTTATGACTGGATAGTATTCCTTTGTGCATATACACCACATTTTCTTCATTCATCTTTGTTGGACACCTAGATTGGTTTCATATCTGGGCTATAGTGAATAGCGCTGCAATAAACGTGGGAGTGCAAAGTCTCTTCAATATACTGATTTCCTTTCCTTTGGAAAACTGCCCAATAGTGGAATTGCAGAACTTACAGTAGTTCTATTTGTAGTTTCTTGAGAAGCCTCCACACTTCCTCCATAGTGGCTGTACTAATTTACAATCCCATCAATGGTAGATGAGCTCCCTTTTCTCCATATCTTCACCGGCATTCGTTATTTTTTGTCTTTCTGATGATAGCCACTTTACACTCTAACTGGGTGAGATGATACCTCACTGTGGTTTTGATTTGCATTTCCCTGATGATTAGTGATATTGAACATTTTTTCATTTATTTGTTGGCCATTTGTATTTCTTCTTTTGAGAAAAATCTGTTGAGATCATTTGCTTCTCCTCCAGTCCACCCCCACTGCTTTGTTTGTTTGTTTGAGACAGTCTGTCTTTGTCACCCAGGCTAGAGTGCAGCAGCATGATCAAGGAGCACTACAGCCTTGACCTCCCAGGTTCAGGTGATCCTCCCACCTCAGGGCCTCCTATCCCCACAACCCTGGTCACTGACCATACCCAGCTAATTTTTGTATTTTTGGTCGAGATAGCCTGCCACATTGCCCAGGCTGGTCTCAAACTCCTGGGCTCATGTGATCCTCTGGCCTCAGCCTCCTGAAGTGCTGGAATTACTGGCATGAGCCATGATGCCTGGCCTTTTTGCCCATTTTTTAATTGGATTTTTTTCACTGTTGAGATATTAGAGTTCCTCATATATTCTGGATATTAATCCCCTGTCAAATGAATAATTTGCAAATATTTTCTCCAGTTCCGTAGGTTGTCTTCTCACTCTGCTGATCATTTCCTTTGCTGTGCAGAAGCTTTTTAGGTTTGATGTAATCTCATTTATTTATTTTTGTTCTTGTTGCCTATGCTTTTGAGGTCTTCTTCATAAAATCTTTTCCCAGATCAGTGTCCTGAAGCATTTCCCCTATGTTTTCTTCTGGTAGTTTTACAGTTTGGGGTCTTACATTTAGGTCTTTGATCCATCTTCAGTTGATTTTTGCATATGGTGAGAGATAGGGGTCTAGTTTCATTCTTCTGCATATGGATATCCAGTTTTCCTAGCACCATTTATTGAAGAGACTGTCCTTTCCCCAGTGAGTGTTCTTGATTTCTTTGTCAAAAATCAGTTGGCTGTAGATACCTGGATTAATTTCTGGGTTCTCTATTTTGTTCTATTTGTCTGTGTGTCTGTTTTTATGCCAGTACCATGCTGTTTGGGTTATTAAAACTTTGTAGTATTTTTTCTTTCTTCTTTTTTTTTTGAGACAGAATCTCCCTCTGTTGCCCAGACTGGAGTACAGTGGTGCGATCTCAGCTCACTGCAACCTCTGCCTCCCAGGTTCTAAGTGATTCTCCTGCTTCAGCCTCTGGAGTAGCTGGAATTTACAGGTGTGTGCCACCATGCCTGGCTAATTTTGTATTTTTAGTAGAGACGGGGTTTCACCATGTTGGCCAGGCTGGTCCCAAACTCCTGGTCAGTGATCAACACACCTCGGCCTTCCAAAGTGCTGGGATTACAGGCGTGAGCCACTACACCCAGCCTCTTGGTAGTATATTTTGAAGCCTGGTTGTGTGATACCTCCAGCTTTGTTTTTTTTGCTCAGGATTGCTTTGGCTATTAAGGATCTTTAATGATTCCATACAAATGTTAAGATTTTTTTTTCTATTTCTGTGAAGAATGCCACTGGTATTTTGATAGGGATTGCGCTGAATCTGTAGGTTACTTGGATAGTACCTGCCTACCTTCTGACCTTGTTTAGCTGTTCTCCCTCCTGCTCACTGTATTTACCTACCTGGCCATCTTTCGGTGTTTTTGGAGACATCAAACTGCACTTTCAGTTCTCTCCACCCTTAATGTTCTGGCACAGTGCCTCCCTCTTATTACCCAGGTTTCAGTTAAGATGTTAGTTTCATCTCTAGCTTATTTTTCTATGAAGCACTGATCATCAACTGAAATTAAGTACTTATTTATTCCTTTACTTACTGGTAAGTAAGAAATGACTTACCCCATCCTACAGGTTCCCAAGGTCCACGAAGGCCGACTCCTGGGTTGTTTTGTTTATGACTGCATCATCACCCCTAATAAAGCCCGGCACACAGTAGGTGCTCAGTAAATGTTTGTGAATGAGTGAATGAATGAAATCAGCTCAATGGGGTATTGGGGCTTTTCTTTGTTTGTTTTTCTTTGAGACAGAGTCTACCTTTGTCACCCAGGCTGTAGTGCAGTGGCACAATCTTGGCTCACTGCAACCTCCACCTCCCAGGTTCAAGTGATTCTTCTGCCTCAGCCTCTTGAGTAGCGGGGATTACAGGCGCCTACCACCACGTCCGGCTAATTTTTGTGTTTTTAGTAAAAACAGGGTTTCACCATATTGATCAGGCTGGTCTTGAACTCTTCACCTCAGGTGATCCTCCTGCCTCAGCCTCCCAAAATGCTGGGATTACAGGCGTGAGCCACTGAGCCCGGCCTTGACTCCAGTATTATCTGAGACCAAGTTCTACTCTTTGTGGGCAGATGACCCTAGACAAACTTCTTACTGTTTTGTGCCTCATTCGCTCCATCTTTAAAATGGGACTAATCCATTTCTGTCATACAATTGGCATGAAGAGTGATGTGATGGTGAGTGTGACCAAGCTCAGCGAACCATACTACACAATCTCTAAATATAAGGGGTTATTCTCATTCAGGGGCAGTTTTCCTGAAACAAAGAAATCTCAGTTTTTCTGCGTCTTCAGAACTTTCTTTCTGCAGCTGCCTGAGTAATAAAAACTAGCATTTTAGTCCAGAGTGCTTCCCTGGAAGCCTTGGTGTTTAGAGCTGAAGGGTCATTAAAAGACCAGACGGCAAAAAAATCTTTTAGATTACTGTTTCCAGAAGCTCCGTGGTTTAGTGGAAAGCCCCGGTGCTCTGGCAGTGCCCCGCAGAAACAAAGATCAATAATGCCCTTTGCAATCAATGCTTTTGGTGCTCTTCACATCTGCAGCCGCTGCCTGCCCTGGCACAGCTGCCCACCTGCTGCTTTGGAGATGAGGAGTAGACCCAAGGGTTGGACATGTCACACATCACCATGACAACCATAGCATGTGCTTGTGTGTGTGTGTGTGTGTGTGTGTGTGTACATGTTCCCATGCTATCCACCAGCTGCGGGATGAGGGGGTGCCAGGAGCCCATGGAAGGACGCCAAAGGGCGCAGCAGGTGGCTGGGGATAGGTGTGAGAGGGCTTGGATGGGGAATCAAGTGACAACTTTGCCCTCCTTTTATTTTTTTCTGTTTTTATTGAGATATGATTCATATGTCATAAAATGCACCCTTTTAAGATGTACAATTCCGTGGTTTCTAGTATTGAAAGCTTGTGAAACCATTACTAATTCTAGAACATTTTTGTCACTCCAAATACCCTTTAGCAGTCACTGCTATTCCCATGCACCTCTCCATGGATTTACCAATTTCGGGCATTTCTTGTAGGTGGAATCATATACTGTTGTCCTTTTATGACTGACTTCTTTCCCTTAGCCTAATGTTTTTGAGGTTCTTCCATGTTGTAGATACATCAGTACTTCATTCATCAGTGCTTTTCAAGGCTGAATAATATTCCGTTATATAGCTACACCACATTTTGGTTACCCATTTATCCATTGGTGGACGCTTGGGTTGTTTTCACTCTTTGGCTACCACTATGTTCATTTGTGTACAAGTTTTTGTGTGAACATATGCTTTCATTTCTCTTGGGTAATTGCTGGTTCTTTCTCTTTCATTTCTTTTCTTTTTCTTTTTTTTTGAGAAGGAGTCTCACTCTGTTGCGCAGGCTGGAGTGCAGTGGCACTATCTCGGCTTACTGCAACCTCTGCCTCCCAGGTTCAAGTGATTCTTCTGCCTCAGCCTCCTGAGAAGCTGGGATTACAGGCACATGCCACCACGGCTGGCTAATTTTTGTAGTTTTGGTAGAGACGGGGTTTTGCCATGTTGGCCAGGCTGGTCTCGAACTCCTGACCCCAGGTGATCCCACCTCGGCCTCCCAAAGTGCTGTGATTACAGGCGTGAGCCACCGTGCCCGGCTTCTTTCCCTTTTATTGCTGGCATTCCACAGCATTCTCATGTTGAAGCCAGGTATGGAGAAGGCTTGCGGCACGAGGGAGGCCCTTGGACCCTCTGAGCTCTGAGAGTCCTGCTTTGATGACTAGTGAGTGGTGAACACAGAGGCAACCCGGAGGGCCAGCACACAACCCCCTTCCTGTTTACCTGTGGTGCACAGCCGGCCAGCTCTATTTCCGTCTCCCCTGTAGCTAGCATCAGCCCTGTGACGGTTTCAGCCAATGCAATGTGGGAGGCGGTGATGAAAAACCATTTCCAGGCCTGGCCCTACAGCCCCTGCACAGCTCTCTCCCCCACCTTTCCTCCTGTGTCTGCTATATGAACACAGAGGATCCAGGGGAGACTTCTGCCCTAAGGGGTGCCACACCGATCCATGGAAGGCATCCACATCCTTGAACTGCTGTTTGATGCAGGGAGGGCCTCACTGCCAGTTCACGTTAATTTGTGATGTGAACAAGAAATAAACCTTTATTACCTCAGGCCACTGATATTTTGGGGTCGTTTCTTACCCCAGTTAGCCTGTCCTGACTCGTAGAGTTTCTTCAGGTAAGGAACATCCAGCCAGTCTCTAGAACCATCTGCAGAGCTTCTGGCCCTGCCTCCAGCTTCCTCCCACCTTGCCCTTGGCTCCCTCCACAGTGGGGTTTTCTGCAAGGCCTCCTCTGGTTTGATGTCTTCTGCTAAGGTGATCCATTGTCCTGGAATGCCTGGAATGGAGGGGTTTCTTGGGAGTTAGGTTTTCAGTTTGAAAACTGAGACACTCCCAGGCAAACTGGGATGGTTGGTCACTTCCGGACGTTCTCACCTCGTCTCCGATCTGGGACTTAGGCTGAACTCCACTGTCTTTGGCCCATCAGAGAAGAACGCCACATTTGTTGTGGTTAAAGTTTGGGAGCATCAAGGCATATGTATGAGGTATTTGCCATCTGTGGGTCAGATTTTAGGATCCTGCCTGTACTCTCCCAGGGCTGGAATGAGCTGTTTTCAGGCTGTGCTGGGAATAGATGCTTGGGGTAAGTGGGCTGATCACATCTTCAGCCAGGGCTGCCATGAGGGCAGTACTGATGCACGGTGATCCATTGGATGTTCCATATGAGGTTTATTCTAAGGAGGGAGGAGACCTACGAATGCTTGAAAAATGAATCAGGAAATATAAGACAGGTAATATAAGACTGGTCAGCCCGCCAAACTAGAGGGATAGAGTAGGTGAGAAGGCAGAAGTGAATGGAGGACTAGAAACAGTCCCGGAAAGGGAATGATTCCAGATCCATGCCTGCAAACATATCCCATCTGTCTGGGCACTCCTGTGTGCTGCTGGTATACCTTGTGGGCCTGGGTCTATGCTCTCATCCATCCTGTTTATGCATTTGGTGACTTTTGGTTTGTTCCTGGTGTGACCTCTGAGTTCTAGTGTCTGAAGGCTTCCAATAACCTCTCCCCTCAGAAGGCCCAGGAAGGACCCCAGGCTTGCTCCTTTAGCAGGTAGGACTCATACTTGTCATCCCAAGGCTAGAGCTCAATGCAAACACACCAAGGTGGCAGGTGTGATCCTTGGATGCGTGCTGTGTAATGCTGCATCCCTAGCCTTGGCTTCCCTCCTAAACCCAGGCCCCCTCCTCATCAGTGCCCACTGCTGGTCCTGGGAGGGAGTGAAGAAAGTGAGGTGGACCAGTGCCATTCATCACCACCATCAGAAAACAATCTTAAGCTCTTTTGTTCACAAGCCAATAGTACTGTTTTTGGAATGAAGGATAGCTGCTGGTTTGGCTCTGTTGTAAGCCAGCAATAAGAGAATTAAAGGACTCATTAAGGTCCTCCAATGATGTAGACAAGTGCTCTCAGTGGTCATTCCCCATTAAAAGTGAATAAGACTATCAATCGAGTCAGATATTAGACTTGAGTTCCTTTCTCTAAGTGCAAAAGGGTGTTTTCTGGATCATGAAAACGAAATGCCCATTTCTCTTCAATCAAGTTAACACAAGGGACCTGTGGGGAGAGTCTTTCTGTTCTCGTGATGGAGGATTTGCTGAATTATCGCAGCTGAGTCTTTCTAAGGTTGTTTTCATCATAGATGCTGGAAGAGCCATTGCAGCTGCAGACACAATACAGGCAGGGGCTCTGTTGAGAGGCATATTCCCTTCTTGGTGGTGTAGGTTGGCGGGGCAAGAGAACAGGCCTGGGTGAGTGGGTCTGGCATGGAGGAGCCACACAATCCCTGGTTATTACCATGTATGTGCCAGGAACCAGGCCGAGCGTTTCCCACACCTTATTTCATTTTCATTCTCCTGGCAGCCCTGGGGGGCATTTTTACAAAGGGGGAAACAAACAGATACTTAGAAAGTTATCCTACCTGAAAATACAGCTACCCTGATCTGCCTCCCGGTTGTGCGGTGTTGGGGAGGACCTGGAAGGGATACTTTCTAGAAGCTGTCCAATGGGAAAGTACAAAGCTGGGTTTGCTTTGGAAAGGAGGAAGAGATAAAAGGAACAGCCCAGTGGGTGGAGTCAGCTGTGCCTAGGCAGAGGCACAAGTGTCGTGTCTGTCCCTGTGAGCATTCATTGTGTGGGAGCCCCAGCCAGTGACAAAGTAGAGGCAGCAGCCCTTCAATGGAGGGGACTGGAATGGGCAAGGCAGGTTGTCAGAACACTAGCTAAGACGGTTCAGAGCTGGGCTTCCTTCCCAGTGGGGAGTGGGAATGCTAACCAGGAAACCGAGACAGAAGCTTGCTTGAATAGACTTGTCAATGGGAAAGGGCTTATTAAACCTGAGACTCATGACTCCATGAGAGACCAGGGCTCAACCTGGGCTCCCCAGACACTGGGTCTATAATTGTATGATTTATTGCAGACAACCTCTCATTATTCCCTGTGTCCTGATAAGGCAAGGCAGGGGCTGAGTGACTGAAGACAGGGTTGTTTTTTTTCCCAGTGTATTGAGAGCCAGAATTATTGAACTTCGGTGAGCTCTGCAGGACCTGCCTCAGATCTGCCATAAGGATGCTCTCCCTCAGACTTCTATATGGAGCCCATGGTCAGATTTTTGAACTTGGATGCATAAAAATGATTGGAGACTGAGCTGGCTCTGACATGTATTAACTGTGTGACCTTGGATAAGTCATTGTTTTCATCTTAAAAATAGACCGGCCGGGCACAGTGGCTCACGCCTGTAATCCCAGCACTTTGGGAGGCTGAGGCGGGAGGATCACTTGAGGTCAGGAGTTCGAGACCAGCCTGGCCAACATGGTGAAGCCCCGTCTCTACTAAAAATACAAAAATTAGCTGGGCGTGGTGGCGTGCACCTGTAATCCCAGCTACTCAGGATGCTGAGGCAGGAGAATCACTTGAACCCGGGGGGTGGAGGTTGCAGTGAGCCAAGATAGTGCCATTGCACTCTAGCCTGGGCGACAAGAGCAAAACTCCATCTCAAAAAAAAAAAATAGTCCACAAGGCTTATTGATTTAGGCAGATTCTAAAATGTATATGGAAAAGGAAAGAAAACGGAATAGCGCAAACAATTTTGGAATAAAACAAAAACAAACTTGCAAGATTCCTACTACCTGATTTTGAGACTTACTATAAAGCTAAAGTAATCGAGACAGCATGGTGTTGGAAAAATGATAGACACATAGATCAATGGAATAGAATAGAGTCCAGAAATAGACCCACACATATATGGTCAATTAGTTTCGACAAAGGTGTCACGGCAGTTCAATGGAGAAAGGATGGCCTTTTCAATGTTGCTGGAACAATTGGACATCTATATGCAAAAAATAAACCTTGAACCATACCTTGCCTCCTATACAATAATTAACTCAAAATGAATCACAGACATAAATGTAAAACCTAAAACTAGAAAACTTCTAGAAGAAAACATAGGAGAAAATCTTTGTGACCCTGGGTTAGGCAAAACTTTCTTAAATAGGACACAGAAAGCAGGAATCATAAAATAAAAAAAAAAAAGGATAAATTGGACTTCATCCAAATTAAAATCTTATGCTCTTCCAAAGACAGTGTTAAGGAAAGGAAAAGACAAGACAGTCTGAGAGAATACATTTGCAAAACTTGTACCTAAGAGAGGACTAGTATCCAGATGCTAACTGTGAGTAAAGAACTAGAATAAAGAACTCTTACAACTCAATACTAAGAAAGCAAATAATCCAGTTTTGAAAACTGGGCAAAAGACGTAAGCAGACACTTAATAAACAGTATGGATAGAAAATAATCACTTGAATAGATGCTCAGCATCAGCGGTTATTAGGGAAACACAAAGTAAAATCACAAAGCCATAACCAGATACCACTCCACTCCTTTTGGAATGGCTAACCGTCTCCCTTCCCCAGTCTGACAGAGTGTTGTCAATGACATGAAAGTGGAGTTCTCATACACTGCTGCTGGGAATGCAAAGTGGCACTTTGGAAAATAGGCAGTTTCTTGTGAAGTTAAGCACACCTACTTTACCACCCAGCAATCCTACTGTTTGGTATTTACCCAAGAGAAAGGAAAATATACACCCATGCAAAAACCTGTAGGCAAATGTTTATAGTGGCTTTATTCATAATCACCCCAAACTGGAAACAACCCATATGTCCGTCTCCTGGTGAATGGATAAAAAAAAATGGTGGCGAATTTATACATTGAAATTCTGCTAATCCATAAAAAGGAAGAAACTGCTGATCTGCACAACAGCATGGGTGAATCTCAAGTGCATGATGCTAAGTGAAAGAAGCCGTATTTAAAAGGCTACATAATGTGGGATTCCATTCATGTGGAATTCTAGAAAAGGCAACTTTATAGGGATGGAAAACAGATCAGTGGTTGCAAGGGGCTGTGTGTGTGCAGGGAGCGCATTGCCTACTGAGGGACATGAGGGATCTTTTTGGGGTTATGAAATGTTCTGAATCTTGATCAGGGAGGTGCGTACATGATTATGTGCATTTGCTAAAATCCCTAGACCTACACATGGAAGTTGCAGTTTTCGTAGGTCGAAAACAGTCCAAGAGCTGCAATTTCATGTGGTGTAACCTATGCATATCACATGAAGGTGATATAAGTGGCAAGGCTTAAGTGCATGAAAGTAGGTGGAAGTGCTTTGTAGTCCATAGTATGAGAAGGATGACATGCTGGTGGAGCCATTCAGCTGGGTGGGTGGGAATTCTCTATTCATCGCAGTGACAGATTTCCCCTGAACAGAGCCTGCTTATGCAAAAGCACCTTGCATGACTCTCTCCTAAACCATGTCCCTCTCCTGGAGGTGACCAGCTAGCCTCACTGGAGTTGAGGCATGAGTGTATTCCAGACAACACCATTCCCTTTGGATTCAAGCTTCACATCTCAGTGCCCTTTTGTCTGCCTGCCATCTCAGCTGCCAGTGGCATCCCATAGACGTTTCCTCTGAGCCGACAAGTAAAACGCCAATAATTCTCTGTCAGGCTGAAGCTACTCTTACAGCAAACCACTGAATGGTCATTTCAAAGGGGGCAAATAATAGAAGCTATCCTTAAAGCTCCCCTGACAGGAGAGATTTCAGAACACAGAGGGGTATTATTGGGCTGTACCATGACTGGATGAACATTCAATGACAGGCATTACATGGCCGATGATAAAATCCCTAATGTCTCCGTGCTTTACCTCCTAGTGGATTTGATTCTTCCCTTGCAGACAAAGTCCCCATCAAGAACTGTTTCCTTTCATGAGGGTAGGCGGCTGCAGAGAGTACACTTTTGTCTTCAGAAAAATAGGTCCACTTTTGAACTACTTTTTTCAACATTGATAAAAAATGTTTTATCTCCCTTGAAGGGCGTCCTGCTTCGAGCTCAAGTTAGCTAGATTTGCCACACTGTCTGACTCCACCCAACTAGGCTGGTTCTTGAAGAATTTCTAACAGAAACCTCATATAAGGCAAAGAACAGACATGGCCAGAAAAGTTCTGCCCATCTTTAAGGCATTTTTCTTTATAGACTCATGAAAGTGTCTGAAGGATGTGGTCTCAGGAAGTAGAAAAGAGACCCCTGTTTTGATAAAGTAACTATTTTATCATATTTTAGGGAAAGGTTGAGAAAGAGACTCCGCAGGGCACCCTATTGCTTTTGCTTTCCATAGCTTCCACTAATTTTCTGTGAGGCCCTAGGACTTGAACAGATATCTTATGGTTCTTATTTCACCAACCTGAAAGTTTCATAAGGTTGTGAGGTTTATTTACCTTGATATTCCCAGCATGTAGCATAGTACTTGGAATATAGTAGGAGAGAAAAGGAAATTTCTGTTTATTGAGCATCTACTATATTCTTGGCCCTGGGGGAGATGCTTTATCTGCACATGCTTGTGTGTCTATAGATGTAAGGGTGTTGGTGGGCTATTGCAAGAATGCTGCATAACAAGCTACCCCAAAATTCAGTTGATTAAAAAAGCCTCAATCATTTATCATCATTTACATTGTCTGGGGATTGGGTGATCTAAGTTGATCTGGGCTGGGTTTGCTTGGGTGATTCTTCTCATTGAGGGTCTGTGAGTTAGCTAGGATAGCCCTGTTTCAGGCTATAGTTGCTGGAGTGGCTCTGCTCCTTGTATTTCTCATCCTCCCCCTGGGACCAGCGGTCTAGCCGAGGCATGCTCTTCTCTTGGCAGTGGCGAAGGAACAAGAGAACAAGTGGAAACACACAAGGTCTCTGGCCTGTGTCAGGAATTGGTACATTGTCATGTTCACCTCATTCAGTTGGTCAGAGCAAGTTACATGGCCAAACCCAAAGTCAGAGGGCGGGGAAATATGTGGTTAGGTGTGGCTTCAAAGTCACATGGCAAGGCACAAGGGAGAAATGAAGATTGAAGCTAACAGTGCAGTCTAGAGCAATATATTTAATATTAACAACAACCCTATGTGCTAAAGATGATACTATTCCCCATTTCACTGATGAGAAAACTGTGGTTAAGGTAGGTGAGACCCAAGTTTCAAAGACTGTTCTTTTTCGAGCACACCATGCTCTCCCTCTGAGGTGTTTCCTGGTGCTTAATAAATACATGTTGTATACATGTTAGTGAGTAAAAAGTCACAAGTCCCGGCCGGGCGCGGTGGCTCATGCCTGTAATCCCAGCACTTTGGGAGGCCGAGGCGGGTGGATCATCTGAGGTCAGGAGCTCGAGACCAGCCTGGCCAACATGGTAAAACCCCATCTCTACTAAAAATACAAAAATTAGCTGGGCATGGTGGCATGCACCTGTAATCCCAGCTGAGGCAGGAGAATCGCTTGGACCTGGGAGGCAGAGGTTGCAGTGAGCTGAGACATGCCACTGCACTCCAGCCTGGGTGACAGAGCAAGACTCCGTCTGGAAAAAAAAAAAAAAAGTTGCAAGTCCAGCTGAAAGTTAAAAAAAAAAAAAAAAAAAATCCAGTCAGGGATCTCTTTTACCGAAGTAAATTTCAGCTTGTCTGAGGTTTTCCTTGTGCAGTTAATCTGGTTCTGTCATTCCCACATCCTGGCATTGTTCAGAGTTTAACCAGTTGGGCTGGGTTAGATTCCTGGTCATGCCCTGCTCCTCTGCTGTGTCTGGGGCAATCAGACAAGAAGCCACACAGAACGGGGCCCCCAGGCAGGAGGGACACCTCCTCCACTCCTTTTGCCAAAATGACCCTCTGATATCTAGAGCACACAGGTGTGGCTGTGGATGGATTTTTTTAAATCAAAATTAATTATGCCATCATAAAGAAATGTGTCCTCTGGGTTAGCTGCCAAGTTCCCACATTATTTTGCCGACCTGGGATGGTCACGCAAACGGTTAGATTTTGTGTCTGTCCACACCGATGTACGTTGTGGGTAGGCAGATGGAGAAGCCCCAGAGGAGAAGGTAGGAAAGGCTCCTGGTGCCTTCAGGCTGTGAGCCCACTGAGGAGCTTGTCAGAGTTTGACAAGGAGATTTCCTAGAGACAGCAGAGCCAGCTGCTAGTGCAGTGTCAGTGATCCAGGAAGTGACATTCTCTCCTCTGAGTCAGCAAGGACCTCCACGGGGCGCCCTGTGGGAGTCTGCGTATTGCTAGATGCAGGCATCGTGTTTTCCTAGGAGCACAGTTGTTCCTCTGCCTACGTGGGGTCACCAGAAGACTCCTCTCAGCGTGGGTACCCACAGAAAAGTGAATGGACGCAGCTCAAATCTCAGTATAGACTGGTGGGATAGGAGCATCTGGAAGTTGAGGGGTGGAGGAAATTTTAGGGGGTCCTATTTGTCTGGGGACCTCCAGCCTGTGCCACTAGAGCCATTGCCAATGTGTGAATAGTCACCTCTGACATCCTGACTGGATCTTAGGCAAATTGCTGCCCCACCCCACCTTCTGTCCCTCTCTGCATTCCTATGAACTTAGTTCCCTGCAGTATTTCCAGGGCGGCTATGTGGCTGCCACGTGGCTGCCATCTTTCTCTTGGAGGATCGTGGTGGTCACGTCATTCAGAGTTGAGTAAAATGCCTGTTTTGGGGCGAGGGATGAAATGTGGTTTTGGAAAAATTTCTGAGCAATTTTGAAAATGTTGGTGGAAGAATGGGGCTATTGAAACGCCAGTCATCGTTATACACTTATTCCTCGCTGCCGCTTGTAATAATCCCTCCGAAGCTGAGGATGAAATTGGTTTCTCCGTGATCTCTCTTTCCACCCTGGGTGATCCCCATAGGATTCTTCACAAGGACGCAAATCTTTGTCGGGGTTCATTGGTGAGGTTCTCCTGGAGGAGGACGAACGGTTTTATTTCATTTCCAGTGTATTGCATTTTAGGAGGTGATCTATTGGAATAAGTGAAGGAAATGAGGAAGGAAGGAGGGAAGGAAGAAAGGAAATGGAGTTTCTTGAGTGCAGAACTGGTGTTTAACCCTTTCATGTCTATTGTCTCATGTCTATTGTCTCAGTTTTGGTTTATTCTTCCAGCAAACCTTTGAGGTGGGTACCCTGATGCTTATTTTACAGATGAGGGGACTGAGACTTAGAGAGGTTACATAAATTCAGCTAGCCAGTAATCTGGTAAATCACAAGAGGAGTGGTTCAAATCTGAGTCTTTCTAAATCCAAGCCTGGCTAATGTTTGCTTCTTCCTAGGGAGGACCTTTCCCCCTCACCGGCCTCCGCGGACCAGGTTTTTCTCCTTTCAGTCATTGAAACCACCCTGGCACAGCTGCTCCTCCTTCTGGACAAATGGTCGTGACTTTTTTCCTCCATCCTGTCTATGCTTTTCAATATTCGACTCCCCACATTTCCCCTGGAGTTAGGTTTTGGTCCTTGAGTACAGGAAAAACCATTATTCTCCTCTGTAGGTGGCCAAGGGATGCTTTTAACTAGCTTCTTTCCAGCCCCCAAGATTGTTTTTTCTGCTGCTCTCAGCCTTTTATTAGCAAAATCAAAATGATACTGAATAGCTCATTGTCTGTAATGGGGCCACACACAGCAGTTTAACCAACAGAACAGAACTCTTGACCATGGAGGGCTTCTCATCCGGGCAGCCTGGATCCCCTAAAGCACAGGCCACAGGTATATGGATGCCCAAATTAAAGACCACACAAGTA
This sequence comes from Homo sapiens, assembly GCF_000001405.40. Classification (NCBI taxonomy): domain Eukaryota; kingdom Metazoa; phylum Chordata; class Mammalia; order Primates; family Hominidae; genus Homo; species Homo sapiens. The sequence goes on from NC_000015.10 coordinate 85,881,103, forward strand.
CACTTGGTAAATAAAGTATTTACACTATGTTCAGGCAAAGAAGCGAACAGTGTGGAGTTTATTCTGGAAATAAAATCACAAAGCTCATCATTCATCCAGCTCTTTTTCACAGGGGAATACAGCAAGAGAAAATGAAGTAATTTCACTGGAAAGCACACATTTAATTGCCTTTGCAAACTGGCCTTCAACCTGGCTTACTTTTCTACATATTTCACGTCTGACATCTGCCCCTACCTGTTTTCTTATTCCAGCTTTTTCCGTAATAAGGGTGTCCAGAGGTTTAATTCCTGAGCCAACTCTTAGTGAGTGACAGGATGACTTCTAATATTTCTGACCTTTGTCCTATTGGGTTACCTTTGTGGCTGGTACCTCGTGTTCTACTGTCTTACGGGGACACCAAGTCTGCGTCCTCCTCCCTCCCTGCTGAGACATCTGCCTCGGCCTCTGCGTGGCCTTCTGCTTTTCCCCTCTTCCTTCCACTACTCCTTTCTTTGTTTTTTTTTTTTTTTTTTAAATTTTATTATTATACTTGAAGTTTTAGGGTACATGTGCACAATGTACAAGTTAGTTACATATGTATACGTCTGTCATGCTGGTGCGCTGCACCCGCTAACTCATCATCTAGCATTAGGTATATCTCCCAATGCTATCCCTCCCCCCTCCCCCGACCCCACAACAGTCCCCAGAGTGTGATGTTCCCCTTCCTGTGTCCATGTGTTCTCATTGTTCAATTCCCACCTATGAGTGAGAATATGCGGTGTTTGGTTTTTTGTTCTTGCGATAGTTTACTGAGAATGATGATTTCCAATTTCATCCATGTCCCTACAAAGGACATGAACTCATCATTTTTTATGGCTGCATAGTATTCCATGGTGTATATGTGCCACATTTCCTTAATCCAGTCTATCATTGTTGGACATTTGGGTTGGTTCCAAGTCTTTGCTATTGTGAATAGTGCCACAATAAACATACGTGTGCATGTGTCTTTATAGCAGCATGATTTATAGTCCTTTGGGTATATACCCAGTAATGGGATGGCTGGGTCAAATGGTATTTCTAGTTCTAGATCCCTGAGGAATCGCCACACTGACTTCCACAATGGTTGAACTAGTTTACAGTCCCACCAACAGTGTAAAAGTATTCCTATTTCTCCACATCCTCTCCAGCACCTGTTGTTTCCTGACTTTTTAATGATTGCCATTCTAACTGGTGTGAGATGATATCTCATTGTGGTTTTGATTTGCATTTCTCTGATGGCCAGTGATGGTGAGCATTTTTTCATGTGTTTTTTGGCTGCATAAATGTCTTCTTTTGAGAAGTGTCTGTTCATGTCCTTCGCCCACTTTTTGATGGGGTTGTTTTTTTTCTTGTAAATTTGTTTGAGTTCATTGTGATTCTGGATATTAGCCCTTTGTCAGATGTGTAGGTTTTGAAAATTTTCTCCCATTTTGTGGGTTGCCTGTTCACTCTGATGGTAGTTTCTTTTGCTGTGCAGAAGCTCTTTAGTTTAATTAGATCCCATTTGTCAATTTTGGCTTTTGTTGCCATGCTCATGGGTAGGAAGAATCAATATTGTGAAAATGGCCATACTGCCCAAGGTAATTTATAGATTCAATGCCATCCCCATCAAGCTACCAGTGACTTTCTTCACAGAATTGGAAAAAACTACTTTAAAGTTCATATGGAACCAAAAAAGAGTCCGCATCGCCAAGTCAATCCTAAGCCAAAAGAACAAAGCTGGAGGCATCACGCTACCTGACTTCAAACTATACTACAAGGCTACAGTAACCAAAACAGCATGGCACTGTTACCAAAACAGAGATATAGATCAATGGAACAGAACAGAGCCCTCAGAAATAGTGCCACATATCTACAACTATCTGATCCTTGACAAACCTGAGAAAAACAAGCAATGGGGAAAGGATTCCCTATTTAATAAATGGTGCTGGGAAAACTGGCTAGCCATATGTAGAAAGCTGAAACTGGATCCCTTCCTTACACCTTATACAAAAATCAATTCAAGATGGATTAAAGACTTAAACGTTAGACCTAAAACCATAAAAACCCTAGAAGAAAACCTAGGCATTACCATTCAGGACATAGGCACAGGCAAGGACTTCATGTCTAAAACTCCTTTCTGTGTTTTTGTTTTTTGAGACAGAGTCTCACTCTGTCGCCCAGGCTGGGGTGCAGTGGCACAATCTCTGCTCACTGTAACTTCCGCCTCCTGGGTTCAAGCAAATTTCCCACCTCAGCCACCTGAGTAGCTGGGACTACAGGTGCCTGGTTCCATGCCTGGCTAATTTTTGTATTTGTAGTAGAGACAGGGATTCACCATGTTGGCCAGGCTGGTCTCGAACTCCTGACCTCAGGTGATCCGACCACCTTAGCCTCCCAATGTGCTGGGATTACAGGTGTCAGCAACCACACCCAGCCCACTACTCCTTTCTTATTTTAGTACAAGAACTGAGCTGGGAAGGTTGGTGCTGTTTTATAAGCAACTGGGAACATTCAAGGTTTATGAGGATGGGGCTGACTCTATGAATGGGGAAAAGGTGGAGTTGGTGGTGATGAGGTGTGGTGGGGTTGAATTGGGGAAATCATACACAGCTATCGTAATAGTTGAGGAAAAGAGAGTGAGTCTTGAGCTAGGAGACCGGTGTTGGGAATGGAAAGGAGAGGAGAGTTTCTGTGATAGAGTTCCTTTCCTCTGGGATTCCCAGCCTTTACATTAAAAACATCTCCAGACTTTAGCTTTTGTATCAAGCTGCCAGCTGCCTTGGAAATGATCCAAAGATAAGAGACATGTAATTCCAGGCTGTGATGGGGGTTAATGGCCTTGTGTACAATAGAAGTCCCAGAAATGAGGTTTGGTCTCAGACAAAGGAAGGAGAGAAAATAACTCGAGTTATTATAAAAGAAAACATCTCAGAGTTAGATTAAGAAAGTGGGACAAGGTGGGGTAATGAAGACTCTGCAAAGGAGTGCCTGGGAAGGAGGAGGGGCTGTGTGCTTCGGCAGAGGAAGAATAGATCCCTTGGATCTATTCCTGTATTTATATAGTTGATAAAGGGAATGCCTTTTAGAGAAGAAAATATTTAAGAAAAGATCCTGCTTGGTATAGAAGGTAAGATGTTGAAAGCATAGTTTATAGAGAGTCAAGACGCGAATTTCTTTGTATTATAAATAAATAGAAATTTGATGATGTGGGCGTAAAGAAGAGAGGAGCAGAGAGAAGATCAGAGGGGAATGTGGGGTAAATGCACCCAATAGCAATCATTTAAGCATACACTTAGAATGACCCTGCATGGCAGACACACCTGAATGTGTGTTCTGAGCTAGGGAATCTGGGAGTGGCCAACCCAGAGATTCATTCCTTATCCATGATGAACATCTGAGCCTACAGCTTACCCCATGGAACACGGGCTGTATAGGGAATTGAAGCCCTGAGTTTTGGGTTAAATGAAGCTTGCCAGGTGGAGGTCATTACGCAGAGGGTGTTAAATTAAAATGCTATATAAACTACATGTTATTTGCAGGTGGCTGTGGTTTTCCTGCCCAGCCCACTACCACTGGGCCGTAGATGAGATGGATATCTTGTCCAGCCCGCTGCCACTGGACCATTTCTGCAGGTAAGGGGGTCAAACCCACAGCCACTGGACCCTCTTCTCTGTAGGTAAGCTCCGTAATAAAGCCCTATGTCTCATGTGCTTGCTCTGGGTCTCTTCAGCCTCTTGAACCTGATGCCTTCTCTATTGAGGTTTACAGGGGTTCAGCACAATAGGGAGGGGAAGGTGTCAGAGCATTCTGGTGGGTTCTGGGGCTTTTAAGAATAGAGATGCTGCTACTCAGTTGGAAATGATTTGTATTTCTTTGATTGGAGCCCCTTTCCCTAGTGGCTTCATGAAAGTGTACTACCTTCAAAATCCTAGTGGGATATATTTCATAAAACAGTAACCACAGATGTGCTGGGTCCCATATCCAGGTTGATGCCATGGGGCAAGGGACTCCCTGTGAGGATGGGTGAGGTTGTCCATCTGCTGACTTGATTCAGCTGCAGAACTTGAATCTAGAAGGGACCCTGAAATAAGCTTTTTAAGAACACCCAGAAGTCATGGGGGAGGATCCTGGGTTTCCGCAGGTCAAGGAGTGAAGTTCTAGCTGGTAGTATCTGGTCCTTAAGTGTGGAGAGACCTCAGCTGGTGGCTGGATTACAGATCTGGGCTGTTCTGTTTTCTTCTGGGGTTTGGCTTGATTGTATATGGTGTACCAATTTGGAACGGCCACTACTCAATGCAGTGACCTCCAACCAGCTGAGCTCTGAAACTTGGGAATTCCTGGGCTGGCAAGGGAAGCCTGGATTCTGGGTCTGCTGTCTGTGGGTAAGAGTGTCAGGAGGCTGGAGCAGCAGGAGACGGTGCTGGCTGGCGCCGGTGTTCTGGGTCTTCCTTCCAAGCTGCAATCAGGATTCCTTTCCTGAGATTCCTCCGAATTGCCTGTCTCCAAAATGCATAAGATGTTTCTGAAATCAGTGCTTCTCAAACTTTAATGCGTACCAGTGTCACCTGGATGGCTCATTAGAACCACGTGCTGAGCCCCTTCCCCAGAGGTCTGGAAGTGAGGCCTGACAATTTGCATTTCTAACAAGTTCTCAGGTGATGCTGATGCTGCTGGTCTGGAAACCACACTGAGAATCCCTGTCCTAGACCAGCATTTCTCACTTTACTGTGCACAGGAATTACTTGGGTTTCTTATTAAAATGCAGGTTCTAATTCAGTAGGTTTGGGGTGAGACCTGAGAATTAGCATTTTGACCAGCTCCCAGGTAAAGCTGATGTATAAGGACCACCCTTTGAGTAGCACCACCCCCAGTCATGCTGCCTTTAGCCTCTGACTGGCTGAAGGTCAAATGTTTCTACTCCCCTAAGAATAAGTACTTCTGGCTGGACACAGTGGCTCATGCCTGTAATCCCAGCACTTTGGGAGGCTGAGGCAGGCAGATTGAGGTCAGGAGTTCGAAGCCAGCCTGGCCAATGTGGTGAAACCCCGTCTCTACTAAAAATACAAAAAAATTAGCTGGGCATGGTGGTGGGTGCCTGTAATCCCAGCTACTTGGGAGGCTAAGGCGGCAGAACTGCTTGAACTAGGGAGGCGAAGGTTGCAGTGAGCCGAGGTTGTGCCGCAGCACTTCAGTCTGGGCAACAGAGAGACTCTGTCTCAAGTGAAGAATAAGTACTTTCATCCCAGCTGCTATTCTCAACTGCTTTGCAAGGGCGTGGTTGTCTCTTGGTCTGTGTGTATCTGCAATTCCCTGCTCAGTCTACCCCACACCACATCCCTGCTAGAAGCTGAGCTGCCCAGTCATCTGTGGGAGCACCTGTTCATCCCAACACAGTGCCACTGGGACAGTTAAGCCTCGCCAGGCTCTGGCTCTCGCTGGCTGCTGGGCAGGCGTTCCTTCGTGTTCCCCAGGGCCCACTTTGCCCTCTCGATGCTGGCAGTGGCTGTCCCAAGTGCCAGCTGTTCTTTTGCCCTTGAAATCAGCCCTGTCCGGCTTCTGTCCTGGCTTCCCTGATGTCCCTGACCATTCCCAAATGACTGTATCCTGCAAAAATGAGTCTGCTATAAACTGGGCTGGCAGCTGCTCTGGCAGACGGGCAGGAGGAACTTGGAGACTGTTCAAAATAAGGAGGAGTTGAAAATTAGGAACCATAGGGAGATGGAAAGAGGAACGGGAGTTAATTTAATGCCTTAAGTGTAATACACTTTATATGAATTTATGCAGAATTTACATAAAAAAATCAACCTAATATGTAGCACAAAGGCATTAGGGAAGGTTTCTTGTAGGATGAGACAGTAGAAAGGGAAGTGGGTTGGGATTCAGGAGAACCGAGTTCTAATCATATTCCCACATTAGTCAAGAATCCACAGGCCTCAGTGTTCTCTTGCATAAGAAGGTTTGGATTAAACCACCTTTGAGCTACTGCATGTCTAAAAACCTCACTTATTATTAGAGGGATTATCAAGGAAGGCTGGGGAAATCTTTAAGCTTTGGAATTAAAAAACCTGAATTTAGGCTGGATGTGGTGACTTGTGCCTGTAATCCCTGCACTTTGGGAGGCTGAGGCAGGAGGATCTCTTGAACCCAGGAGTTTGAGACCAGCCCGGGTGACATAGCAGGGCCCCATCTGTACAATAAGAAAATTAGTTGGTCACAGTGGCACATGTCCGACTACTTGGGAGGCTGGGGTGGGAGGATTGCTTGAGCCCAGGAATTTGAGGCTACAGGGAGGGGTTATTGTACCACCACACTCCAGCCTGGGCAATAGAGTGGGACTCTGTCTCAAAAAAAAAAAAAAAATCCTGAAGTTAAATCCTGGCATCTCCTGCTCTATAGCTGGGCAGCGTACTGGGCACGTCACTTACATTCTGAGTTGCTTCCTTGCCAGCGAAGATTAAATGAAGAAGCTAATAAAAGCACCTAAAACAGTTGCTGGTACCTAGTGGTACACAGCGCTCAAGAAGCAGAAGCTAATATGACAATCATTAAAAATGTTAAAAACCTGTTCTTTTTCACCATGCTCCATTTAGTTGGGTGGGACACAAATGCTCAAAAGTGTATTATACTTAAAAATAGTAGAAATCAATTCCATTCTCTGCTGCCCTCACAAGCCCCTCAGGTAAGTCTGGGTTTGCTCAGCTCAGCCTCCAGGAAAATGTGTTCCAAAATCCTGGAACAAGAGGGTAACAACAATCAAAGCAGCATGTTGACATACTTAGCAAGTTTTAGGGAATTATTCAGTGCTAACTCCAGAGAAAACTGACTGAAACATAACCAGGCCAATGGCTCCCGTGGGCCCTGCAAATCAGAGGAAATGTTTGAGAACAGGGTAGATAGGACAGGACAAAATGGCTTTGCGTTCTCTCTTGCTCTGAAAATTGTTGTCATGGGATGCAGAACATAGTGGGTGCTTATTAAATGGCCTTCGATTGAAGGAAGCATGTTCTAGAGGCTTAATGATTCTACCCCCTGAAGACCATAGTACATCCTGGATGTGACTGGCACGTCTGTTGAAAGCCTGATGCTTTGTTCTCTTAGTTGTCATTCGTGGCCTCTAGGAAGCAGGGTGTTTGGTTGCCTGCAACAGAAATGGAGTCTAGCTGATTTACACAGAGGAAGAGTTTAGTGGAAGGATGTCAGGAGCATATAGGTGTAAACGGGAGGCGGAAGAGTCATGGTGAGTAAGCAACAGGACTCCAGGACTCAGTTGACTGAGCATTCCTGCAGGGATGAATTGGTTCTGCTGAACCAAAAGATCTACACATTTCTTATCACTTAAGGAAACAGGCCTGGATGTCTGCTGCCATTCACTCAGGCCCAGCTCCCAAAGATGACCCATCCCTAAGCGGCCCTGATAATCAGCACACAAGAGGCATGGTGTCATATTGGAGGACCAGCCCATATATTATTTCCATGCCTGGCTGTTACTTTATCCTGCTATTTTGCTTGCAAGGTGGAACAGTTATAAGGATACTCATGTGATTTACGTGTTCAACATTCAGCCCAATGGATGACATTGCCTTCGATATTATGTTTGGGTATTGGGCAACTTCCTATCATACCTGATGTTATTGTTTAGTCATTTTGTGCCTGATATGTTTAAGTTTTATAAATAAATGCTTAGCATGGTGTGCACCTATATTCTATATAATAATCCCAGGAGGTTGCTTTGGCTAAAGAACTCCATCCACTCCAGAACTATTTCCATGGTTTGCTACACACATTTCAGAACACAACTAGGGAATTATGACACTGCTATCCCTGGTGCCTTATCTCCTCAGTTATATCCTGAAATGAGCATAATAGCACCTACACAGCGGGTTGCTGTTTTAAATTGTATACTATATACAAAGCACCTGATGTGTAGTAGAGAAATAATATAAAAGGCAAAGATTATAACTTTTATTTTACTTCTGTCTTTCCCCATCCCCATGTAGTAATCAGAGACTAAGCATTTTTTGGTTAATATCAAACATGTTAAGGCAGGGGAGAAGGTGGAAGAAGGGAAAGTGTGGCCATATTTCCCAGCCCTTAGACCTCTCCGTGGTAAAGAATTTGGCTATGATAGTCACTGGAGTGCCCCTATGCGGCCCCCACCATGTTCCGGCGGTTCATCATACTCCTAACAATTCCACTTCCAATTCAGGAGTGACATGGAACTACTATTTTATTATTTTGTGTGAAAATAATAAAGTAGACGATTATTTTAAATCTCTAATAATTTATCTCCTTTCTTGTATCACTCTGCTCAAGACACAAAGTCCCAAAAGAAAGAGAGGGCGAGAGAGTGAGTTGAATTTGTCTGGCCTTGACGATGTGCTTAACCCCTCAGCTAGGGGAAGGTCTGTCACTCTGGTATACATTTCTACCAAGCAAATTAGGGCAGGTGGATTTTCATAAAAAGAAATTGGGTCACAGTTGCTAGAGTACAAGGAGTGGGTGCAGTGGGGGGTTCTGTAAACCCTCCAAAGCTTTTCTACAGGGTTCTCGGGATATCTTCCTAGAAAAACTATAAAGCCCAAGAAACAAACTACTCCAAAACAGCAGTTAAGATTAGACCAAAAGAGAGCAAGAAATAGCATGATTTAATCAGTTATCAAATCTCAAAAGTTCTTTTTTGTAACTCAGAATCCTCAATAGGGACTGTTATATATATGTGTGTATGTGTGTATAATATGTAATTGTTTATGTGTATGTATATACACACATATCACACATGAACATGTATAATTAGATTTAGAATATAATTTACATAGACACGATTCATTAAAGTTACCCATTACTAGCAGACATTAATCTGTTGGCATAGTTTAGTTGAGGCTTTCACCCTCCTGCCTCGCTCCCTCTTGCTCACTGTCTGAACCAGCCAGTCCGTCTGTCTTCCAGGCTATAATAGTCCCTGTGTTAGGTTCCGACGTCTAGACAGAGCCCAGGGATAAGTCTGGGTGGTCCTTTGTCCTCGGGGAGTACTAAATCAAGGAAGAGGGACCCCCATGTAAGTAGACAAATTCCATTTGGCCTGTGACCTTAAGGATGCCAGACTTTGGATTTGCGGGTGCAGCTGGCGTCAGAACACCACAGGCTGCTGGCTCCAGGGTTTGTTTCTATCGCGTTTATTGCATTGGGTCGGGTAGAAGTCCTGGGGATTTTCTTATTCCCTTGACTTCATTTTTTTTTTTTTCCTTTGTAACCTTCCATCTCACTTGCACAACAAACCCAGTGCCAACTGGCTGGGTCCACTTCAGTGCCATGAGGTTCCTGGGGACAGTGGAAGAAGGTCTGTTCAGCCGCTTCAGGTGCCTGATTGCTGGCCAGCTCCATCCTGAGAGGGAGCTGGGTCTGCCAGGAGCAAGGCAACACAGCCCTCAGTCCTGCTGCCTCTCCCTCTCTCCCTGCCTCAAGCCCCCTTTGCAAGACCACTCCAGAAGGCTGACTTCTCACCCAGCTTCTCCGGAAAGCTCTCCCTTTCCTCTGGGGCTGGACATTTTCTCTGGTCATTAAGCACTCCTTAGTGTCCATCAGTTGATCCGAGATCCATCTTGGAAGCTCTGTGGGGCAGCTTGATGGCTGTGGAGTCTAAAAGGGCAAGCATTATCCGTGCCCACCTCTTTCCATCTGCCTTCCTTGGAGAGAGGCCAACCAGAGAAATGTGGAGGGGATTTAGTTTCATCTCATTTTTATTCATTTCCAAGTCTCCAAAGCAGTAGAATTAGGCTCAGGAAATGATATGTTTCACTAACTCTGAGAAAAATTGGGGAAGTGTCTTCTAAAGCTCTGTTTTGATCTTGTCACCCTTCTGCTCAAAAGCCCTCACTCTCTTCCTCTACCCTGGGTGGCAACCCACAGCCCTGCTCATGACATTCAAAGCCCAGCATGGGAAGTGGGTCACCTTCTCAGCCATGCCCCCCACAGTCCATCCCTTCCCAGTCCTCTGTTTTAGCCACATTGGGCAACTCTGCACCCTCCTCCCCCGACCCGCAACAAAACACTCCTCCTCTTGCTTTGCTGACATCAGCCCCTCACCCAGAATGCCTTGCCCTCCCATTCCCACCCCTTCAAACCCTACTCAATATTCAGGGCTTAGTTCAGATGTCACTTCTGTGAATGAAGCAATCCTTGTTTTTCCAGTGGCGGGGGAAAAATCTCTCTTCCTTCTCCCTCTTAGAGCATTTGTGTGTGGCTGTCTCTTACTTTTCTCACTTGCATTTTGGAAAACTTGCGTATTTTCCTCACTACATCCTATTTATTTGGTTACTGGGAGGCATTCAGAACTTTCTTTTGCATCACCCCACACATCCAATCCGTGAACAATTCTGCTGATTTTTACCTGCTAGATATTTCTGGCATCCATCTGTTGTCTCTTGTAAGTATCCACTCAGTGGCTGGGTCCTCCTTATTGCCCTCAGAGGTCTCTACAGCAGCTTCAGCTGAGTTCCTTGCTGCGTGTGGTCTGCTAGGTGCAAATCCATTGTCTTCACAGGGCAGGTGGTTTGTGTTTCTCACCCCCCCCTTAGTTCAGGAACTTTCTCAGTAGCAACCACAATGTGGCTATCAGGGCCTAGTGCATAATAGGTACTTAACAAATACTGAGCAAGTGAAGGATGAACAAGTTATGTCTTTGGTGGCACTAAACAACTTGCTTGCCAGATGTTGCATAATCCTTAACTTGGAAATGTCCTGCTGTGAGTGACAGGCCTTCCCTCTCTGAACCTCTTTATGTACTTGTGAAATGACGGGCATTATTATTATTATTATTATTTTTTGAGACGGACTCTTGCTCTGTTGCCCATGTTGGAGGGCAGTGGCGTGATCTTGGCTTACTGCAACCTCTGCCTCCCGGGTTCAAGTGATTCTCCTGCCTCAGCCTCCTGAGTAGCTGGGATTACAGGTGCCTGCCACCAGGCCCGGCTAATTTTTGTGTTTTTAGTAGAGATGGAGTTTCACCATGTTGGCCAGGCTGGTCTCGAACTCCTGACCTCAAGTGATCCTTCTGCCTCGCCCTCCCAAATTGCTGGGATTACAGGTGTGACTCACTGTGCCCCACCGACAGGCATGATTTTATCTCAAAGGTCCAGTCATAAACCCATTTCCCTCTGAATTCATTTGCATTTGCTTCACAATTAAGCAGCTTCAGTTGTGGTGATTTGGGGGCTACTTTGCCAGAGATAACTCTTTCCTCATTAAAACATGTTGTGGTTTTTATATTAGCTTGTTTCTTAGGTGAGCTAAATGTTCATTTTCTCTTGAAGTAGACATGGGCTATTGCTGATTCAGCAGATTACACCCAAAAAGTTATCTAATCTGGGGTATGACCCTGACCTTTTTCATCACCCGATTGGGCCTGTCGTCCACAGAAATCATCAGACTTCATGAGCCTGTTTTTCATCCACATCATCAGACTTCATGGCCCTAGGCCCATGAATCAGAATCAAGTTACAGAGTGTCTGGAAAATCTGCTTAGACGTAGAAATCAATAACAGAAAAGCAAGACTGCTTTCGAGCTACAAATTATATAATTCTTGGGGCAGGTACATCTGGCTTCCTCCTTTAAAGGCTATGGAAGGTGGAAATCTGAAGTGTTAATTCAACAGTTGAGGGAAGTGACATTAATGCTTATGCCAGGAAATTTCTCCTTGTGCAGTGGTTGGGGAAAATGTGCTCAGACAGCAGGTGAAGGAGCCACATACTTTTTCCCCCAAGACCCTTCCTGAATTTAAATATTCTGTCCTCTTATTCCAAGAAGTGTATTCATGCTGGTCAGTTCAATTGGGAAAATATGGTCATTGCATCAAAAGGTTTTGTAAGGTTTTGATAAGTCTACTAGGTTGGTCTTGCCTATAAGAATAAAACTTATAACAGCAGGGACTTCTTAAATTCCTTCTGGTTGTGTATTTCCAGTTCTTTGTGGGATATCTATACTTGAAGGCCATCAAATTCTACGCTTCAAAGTCACAATTTTTCTGGGAAACAATGTTTTTTTTGGAGACAGAGTTTTGCTCTTGTTGCCCAGGCTGGAGTGCAGTGGTACAATCTCAGCTCACTGCAACCTCTGCCCCGGGTTCAACTGATTCTCCTGCCTCAGCCTCCTGAGTAGCTGGGACTACAGGCACCTGCCACCATGCCTAATTTTTTGTATTTTTAGCAGAGACAGGATTTCATCATGTTGGCCAGGCTGGTTTTGAAGCCCTGACCTCGGGAGATCTACCTGCCTCAGCTTCCCAAAGTGCAGGGATTACAGGCGTGAGCCACTGTACCGGGCCAGAATCTTCTTACTTGGGATCCCATGTCTCTGTGTTGCTTCTGAAAAAGCCTGGGGCTACTGGACAGGAGTAGCACTGGGGGGCTGTCAGGCTGTTCGTTAGTGGAAAGCCTTGTGAAAGGGGGTAAGATGTGTTTGGACAAAAGGAATTGAGTTATGTGTCATTCACGTAGTCATTTTTTGTCAGGGAGGTAAAGTGGGAGCAGAAATGTTTGGAAGAGAAAAATATGGCACACTGGGGTCCACATGAGACATTGTAATGGGCGGGACATGAGTGCAATGTGTGAGGGTGACCCCTGAGAGGGTGGGAGGAGGGGAGAGAAGCAGTCTGTGTGTACATTCTTCTGTAGGCTCTGGTGCTTGTCTTCTCTCCCCTGCACTCCCGATAGTCATTTTGTAGCTTTAGCTTCTTTGTCCTTGTGTCTTTCTTTCACCATTCACTACTTCTCCTTGTCATTTCATTAATGATACTGAATAATAAATGGCACATCGTAAAAATTTTCCACTGCACAATCCCTGTCCAAGGTGGAATGTGTGGAGCAGTTGAGCATCAGGGAGGTCAAATGAGTGGACTGAAGAACTCGGTGATTCTGATCAGGAAGGAGGTCCATGTAACATCCAGCATGCCGGGGGTGGTGTTGAGAGGACAGCATCAGGGATCTGTCTGTTGGCAGGTGGGAAGTCAGAAAATGACAGGTCAGAGTAGTGTCCAGTGAGGCTTCTGAACCCTCATGGTCAGTAATTGACAGCATGGCTTAGAAATTAAGAATCTCCAAGTGGACAGGTCTAGTTGACTTCCCTGGGACACAGTGCCTTGACACTGTAGAGGGAAACTCACAAGTAATTCATTATAACAATAAAAGAATCAGTGCTTATGATTTTTTGGTACACTGGTAGATCAAGATGATTTCTCTAGGAAAACATATTCACTTGCTCTGTCACCTAGGCTGGTATGCAGTGGCGCAATCTCAGCTCACTGCAACCTCTGCCTCCAGGGCTCAAGTGATTCTCCTGCCTCAGTCTCCCAAGTAGCTTGGACTACAGGTGCATGCCACCATGCCTGGCTAATTTGTGTATTTTTAGTAGATTCTGAGTTTTGCCACGTTGGCCAGGTTGGTCTTGAACTCCTAGCCCCAAGTGATGCACCTGCTCGGCCTTTCAAAATGCTGGGATTACAGGCGTGAACAACCATGCTTGGCCAATACTCACTTGCTTTTGATGTGCTTTCTTAACTAGGAGAAAGAGTCAGGGTTACAGAGAGCTCTTGGGGAACAACAGGGATGATCTTACACATGCCATTTCCCACAGCAAAAGACTTCCATCAATAGCTGTGACAATTAAACAGTGTAAAGCACTTTATTTTTCACCAAAAAATGTTGAGTCTCATCAAAATTTGAGAGTGTGCGCTGCGCTGCAGACAAATAACAAACATCAGGGTTATTGCTGTGAAAGAAAAAGGTTGAGAACCGCCAATTTAGTGTCCTGATCTGTGTCCATGGACTGATTCAGAGGCAGTGAGGGAGCAGGGGCTTCTGCTCCTGGTGGTCAGATGTTGAACTTGGAGTTCAACACCTGGGCCATAGACCCTGAGTCAGGAAGGTCAATAGCACACCATTGTGTCTCTCTTCCAGAACACAGATTTCCCTTTAATTCTTCTCTTGATCGATATGACTAGTCTTCAGGTTATATCATGGTTCCCTCCTCTTTGCTGCTGCTTTCTACTAAAACTCCTGGTTGCAGTGAAGTCTGGAGCCTGCCCACACCTTCTTGCAGGAGTCTATCCCCTGGCACCCTCTCTGAACTCCTTTTGCCCTTTTCTCTGCCCCTCTACTAAGCTTCCTAAACTGTCGATTGCATCCTGATGCTTCCTTTGTTGGAAAACTTCAGCAGTGTACAGCATGGTGAAGATGGCACCCACCAGGCACAGACATGATTTCTCTTCCACTTTTGCCTTTATCTCACGGTGGCCTTGAGCAAGTGACTAGTTTGATGCCTCAGCTTCTCTCTAGGTAATATGAAATCATGCAACTAGCAGAACATGAAGAACTATGATTCTTCTGCTTAAATGCTCTCCACATGTGCCCTATGTATCATTTAAATACAATATTGCTGTTTGTGACACATGAAAGCTATTTTATTGAGGAAGAAAATGCTTGGGTTTTTTTTTGTTGTTGTTGTTGTTTAAATGGAGTCTGGCTCTGTTGCTCAGGCTGGAGTGCAGCGGTGTGATCTCTGCTCACTGTAACCTCTGCCTCTGGGGTTCAAGTGATTCTCCTGCCTCAGCCTCCCAAGTAGCTGGGATTACAGGTGTGTGCCACCACACCTGCCTGATCTTTGTATTTTTAGTAGACAGGGTCTCACCATGTTGGCCAGGCTGGTCTCAGACTCCTGACCTCAGGTGATCCACCTGCTTCACCTCCCAAAGTGTGGGATTACAGGTGTGAGCCACCGCACCCGGCCAATGCTTGCTTTTTGATGACAATAGCACAACATCTCTACATGTCTCTCCCTCTCTTCTACCTTTAACTCTTGGCTCTAGTCCATCCTTTGTTCCCTCTGCCCCTTCTTCTCTCTGTCTCTTGCAGGATGACTGATATTGGGAGAAGCTGAATAATAAAACAGCAATTAGGAAACAGGCATTAGCAGCAAATAGGTCTGGGTGATGCATAGCTAACCCTTGATGACTGAACATTTTGAAGTGTCTTTTACTCATTTGTAAAATGGAGATAATATTAGCTTACGGTCTGGCATGTAGTAGTACCTAAATAAATGTTATCTCTGAATAAAGTCTAGCTCAAACATTCCTTCAGTTGTTTTTCTCTTTTTCTTTTTCTTTTTTTTCTCTTTTTGCTTTTTTTGTCTCTCTCTCTCTTTCTCTCTCTCTCTCTCTTTCTCTCTCTCTTTCTCTCTCTCTTTCTCTCTCTTTCTCTCTCTTTCTCTCTCTTTCTCTCTCTCTTTCTCTTTCTCTCTCTCTCTTTCTCTCTCTCTCTTTCTCTCTCTCTTTCTCTCTCTCTTTCTCTCTCTCTTTCTCTCTCTCTTTCTCTCTCTCTCTTTCTCTCTCTCTCTCTTTCTCTCTTTCTTTCTCTCTCTCTCTCTTTCTCTCTCTTTCTCTCTCTTTCTTTCTCTCTCTCTCTCTCTTTCTCTCTTTCTCTCTCTCTGTCCCTGTGTGTGTGTGTCTCTGTCCCTGTGTGTGTCTCTGTCTCTTTTCCTGTGTGTGTCTCTCTCTGTCTCTGTCCCTGTGTGTCTCTCTCTCTCTGTCTCTGTGTGTGTGTCTCTGTTTCTGTGTGTCTCTCTCTGTGTGTCTCTGTCTGTGTGTGTGTCTCTGTCTCTGTGTGTGTGTCTCTGTGTGTGTTTCTCTCTCTGTCTCTGTGTGTCTCTCTGTCTCTGTGTGTCTCTCTCTCTGTCTCTGTGTGTGTGTGTCTCTCTCTGTCTCTGTGTGTGTGTGTCTCTGTCTCCGTGTGTGTGTCTCTCTCTCTGTCTCTGTCTCTCTCTGTCTCTGTGTGTCTCTCTCTCTGTCTCTGTGTGTGTCTCTCTCTCTGTGTCTCTCTCTGTGTCTCTCTCTGTGTCTCTCTCTGTGTCTCTCTCTCTGTCTCTCTGTCTCTCTGTCTCTCTCTCTCTGTCTCTCTCTCTGTCTCTCTCTGTCTCTCTCTCTGTCTCTCTCTCTGTGTGTCTCTGTGTCTGTCTCTCTGTGTGTCTCTCTCTCTGTCTCTTTCTCTCGCTCTGTCTCTGTCTCTTTGTGTCTCTGTCTCTTTCTCTCTCTGTCTCTTTCTCTCTCTGTCTCTTTCTCTTTCTCTGTCTCTGTCTCTCTGTCTCTTTGTCTCTGTCTCTTTCTGTCTCTGTCTCTGTCTCTTTCTCTCTCTCTCTCTGTCTCTTTCTCTGTGTCTCTCTCTCTCTATCTCTGTCCCTCTCTCTGTCCCTCCTCTCTGTACCTGTGTGTGTGTCTCTCTCTGTCCCTGTCTCTGTGTGTGTGTCTCTTTCTCTGTCTCTGTCTCTGTGTGTCTCTCTCTGTCTCTGTGTGTCTCTCTCTGTCTCTCTCTCTGTCTCTGTCTCTCTGTCTCTGTCTCTCTCTGTCTCTGTGTGTCTCTGTCTCTGTGTGTGTCTCTGTCTCTCTCTCTGTCTCTCTCTCTCTGTCTCTCTCTCAGATGGGTCTCACTTTATCACCCAGCCTGGAGTGCAGTGGCGCAATCAAAGCTCACAGCAGCCTTGAACTCCTGCAGCTTTTTCGAATCTGGTATACACTGACCTCCCAATGACCTTATAGGACTGCATGGTTTGGAATTGGTTTCTCGCTAATCATGGGTCTTTTTCCTTGGCCAGCTGAATGTGAACCCCTTCCACAGTGGTTGTTCCTGCCTCTGTGTCTTCTCCACAGCACCCAGATAAAATACTTGCACAATGTTTTTGGAGCAGTTAAATGTTAGCGCTGATTAGATGATAGCATAGCATTTCTCATAGAGATCACCCAAAGCTTGGTAAAATTGTTCTTCCCGGGCCTCACCTCTGTGCCTGTTGCTATGCCGAGGCTTCATCCTGTCAGGCATTCGGACTCCCGAGGAGTCTTGAGCTTTGGGATTTGGCTGGCTGTGCTGTCTCTCTCCGCCTCTAGGCCAGGCGGTGCCTGCATCCCCCAATTCAACGGTGAGTTTGGGAATGGCCAGTCAGAAGCTCAGGACTACAGAAGCTACCCTCAGAGAAACCTGAAAGGGAGCTGGCTCTGCAGCTTGGTCTGCGTGTTTATTTGCCATCCGTGATTCACTGTGGCCTGGTGAAGACTCAGCAACGGGCACTTTCACTGGCTGTCCTCTGCTCTCTGTGGCATGCGATGGGGAAACCTTTTCCCAGGGGCGTTTTATCTTAGGAGAACAACTTCAAAAACACATGTAAAAGGGAAAAATGTTGTTTAGCATCTTGCTGTGGTAAAAATGATAACTTATATAGAGAATATCTATTTTGGGACTGATGTAGCAAAAAATCGTTTTCTAAGCCCCTCCCAACATGTAAAAAGAAGGGAGAAAAGGCCACAGTGGGAGCAGCCTCCTGAGCCCCCTCTGTAATTAACTCTGACAGCTACTGATTCTCATGCTAAAATGAGGGGTGGATGGGTGAGTGCTGGGGTGTGAGCTGGAGCCTGAGGGGAGGCTCTGGACCTGCCTTCTGCAGCATCCTGTGGCTCCATACTTTGCATTGGATAAGCCTTTCATTGGCTATCTGCCTAAGGGTCAAAATCTCGCCTTGGGTCTCTGCTACGTGATACGCATTTGGGTGTCTGGACAGAAGTGGATGCCAGACTTGTCCATGCAGAAAACTGCCTCCAATTAATATCTGCCTGTTTGACGGTACAGTTCGGTCTGTTCCACGCAGGAGCCCGGCATGTGCCATGTAAGTGGGATGGGGAAGTGTCGGCTGCTACTGGCATTTCATTCCAGGTCATCAGATGGGTTCTATTTTCAGGGCCCATCTATCACCCCATCTTGCAGTGTGGAGCCTCGAGTTCTCCAAATGTCCAGATCGCAGCTGTCACTGAGGTATTTTCAATTCTGCTCATTGTGTACCCCAAATCCAGGGAGAGAAGCTAAACAGAAACATTTGGAGTTATTAACAAATGGAATTAGTAACACTTAGGTAGGGGCAGTGAATTATTTGCCCAAGATCTGAGCAAACCAGAACCAAGGGACACAAATGGACCATGTGGTCTCCTAAAAATTTATTTATTTATTTATTGAGACAGGGTTTCACTCTGTCGCCAAGGCTGCAGTGCAGTGGCACAATCTTAGCTCACTGCAACCTCTGCCTCCTGGGTTCAAGCGATTCTTGTCTCAGCCTCCCGAGTAGCTGGGATTACAGGCATGTACCATCATGCTCGGGAAATTTTTGTATTTTTAGTCGATACAGGGTTTTGCCGTGTTGGCCAGGCTGGTCTCGAGCTCCTGATCATATGTGATCTACCCACCTTGGCCTCCCAAAATGCTGGGATTACAGGTGTGAACCACCGCACTCAGCCGCTAGCTTTGTGATTTTCTAAGTCTAACTCAGAATGAGAGTAGAAGGGGCCAGCAGAGGGGGTAAAGATTTGCTTTTATTTATTAGAAATAATAAAAAATCAGAGTCATGAAACGTTCTCAGATCACAGTGGCCTCAGTCTGTGAGGATGCCTGGGAAAGGAGGAATGAGGAAGCTGGAAGGTCGAGTAGGGGCTGAGTGGTGGGAGAGGGAGGGGAAAGGGTGGCCCTATGGGTGGGCAAACCAGAGCTCAACTCAAGGCAGGGGTGACCAATAGATGTGAGCTCAAAGGCATTGCCTCTGATTCCAGACCCATCTACTGGAAAGTCTGAGGTCACCTTCCTACCTATTGTTCTGTTAGGGCTTGAGTTTTCTAGGGAAAGTCATTAGAGGTGGTTCCTGGCCACTGCACTCCTCAACACTATTGGGAGGACCACCATTCACCTTTACCCTGAACAGCCTCCCAATTCTCCTAGGTGCCACTTTCAAGGTTTTAATGATCCTGTTAGAGATGAAATTCATTTCCTTGTCTTCTTTCCTTATCTGCATCACTGGGTTTATGTCTATGGAGAATTTCTTTGTCTATGGAGATTGGTCACAGGGTAACTGCTTGTGTCTCTTGCTTGAACACGCACGCCACTCCCATTTACTTAGGGTGGATCTGGTTCTGATATTTTGCAGCAGTTGCATCTGTTACACAGTAAAGGAGTCCTAGAGAAGTGCTGCCAAGGGGAACTCATAAAAAAGCCGCTGCTGGAGACTCAGATGTGCCCTGCTGAGCGAGGCAGTCTCCTCCTACTTACCGTGCTGCAGTGAGCCGCAGTCACCCGCGGGGGAGTTGAAGAATAAGTTGAATATGGTTGAACACGGTGGCATCATACTGCTCAGCCATCTCTGGGGTTAACTGCAGATGAGATAATTCCTGTATAACTCCTGGATCCTCTAGGGCATTCTGCCACTGTATCCACACTTCATGGTACAAGGGCGAATGGACAGATCTCCAGCTTCCAAGTGAAACGTGAAGGCGACTCGACAAGGATTTCTGTTAGGACAATAGTTTTGCTTCATGAAGACCAGGAAGGCTTGAACTCAGGACAATGGGTATCTTGAATTTACTCAGTTCCCATCTCTTAAGTTATTAAACATTATTTCCCACCTGTCTTGTGTATTTTTGCTTGATCCCTATAATATGGGGGCAGGCATAATTTTGTATAACCCCTGTAAGACGTGTGCCAGGTACAATTGGCCCTATTTCCTATGTGGGGAAACTGAGACTCAGAGCAGAGAAGCGACTCTCCTAAGTCACACGTTGTATTGCTGGCAGAGTCTCGGGCAGGAGTCGTGCCTCCTGATTTCCAGGTACATGCTGCTTTTGCTAGAACCAATCTATTAAAGAACCAAGACTCTTTTATTTGGAATTAATGAGGGATTCCAAAAATAGTGTTAGCAGTGCTTAACAAATTTGAAAGAGCAAAGGAACTGAAGCCAGAGAAGACTGAGATAGGGGAGCTGTTTCATTGTATCAATTTCTATTCACTTTGTTAATAATTGATGCCACATTTACTCATTGTTATATATTAAAAATACTTGATTTGCTACAAGGTAAAAATGACCCATTGACTTTGTCTCTCAACCTACGCTAACCCTAAATGAGAATCTCATTGTGACCACGATTTTGCAAAATTGATTAAATGGAAATAAATGCATTCAAGTGTCAAAGGCTGCATTGGGAATGGTTGCTAATGAGCTTGACCTTTCAGAGCTTCCTGGCTGGGTGCACAGTAGGTGTTCAATGAGTACTGATGGATGTCTTGACTGACTGAGATTTCGGTTAGCCTTCCATCCCCGGGAGCATGGTGCCTCTAATGTGTTAGATGGCATCATGTTCCAAAAATGAATCGATCTATAAATTTGAAGACTAATTTGGAAACATTTTAACCTTACTAAACAGAATAGTATGATAAAACCTAGGTACCCTACGCCAGCTTCAAATCAATATTCTGCTGTTTTTGTTTACTTCCCTTAACACACATCACTGCCTCCCCACCCCCAACACACACACACTTTTTTGTTTTTGAGACAGAGTCTCGCTCTGTCACCGAGGCTGGGGTGTAGTGGCGCCATCTCGGCTCACTGCAAGCTCCGCCTCCTGGGTTCATGCCATTCTCCTGTCTCGGCCTCCCAGTCTCCAGAGTAGCTGGGACTTCAGGTGTCCACTTTTTTTTTTTTTTTTTGGCTGAAGTACCATAAAGGAAATTTCAAACATTGTGTCATTCACCTGTGAATAAATCTGTATGTACCTCCAATAGATAGACTAAAAAAACCACAACCTTATCACCACAACACAATTAGCCATTGTTTCTTAATATCATAGGAGGCCTCTTCCATGCTGAATGCTCCATGGGTTCTTAAAGTCGTGTTCTTTTGATGAGATTCTTCACATAAGATTTTACAGTTGGCCGGGCGCGGTGGCTCACGCCTGTAATCCCAGCACTTTGGGAGGCCGAGGCGGGTGGATCATGAGGTCAGGAGATCGAGACCATCCTGGCTAACAAGGTGAAACCCCGTCTCTACTAAAAATACAAAAAAAAAATTAGCCGGGCGCGGTGGCGGGCGCCTGTAGTCCCAGCTACTGGGGAGGCTGAGGCAGGAGAATGGCGTGAACCCGGGAAGCGGAGCTTGCAGTGAGCCGAGATTGCGCCACTGCAGTCCGCAGTCCGGCCTGGGCGACAGAGCTAGACTCTGTCTCAAAAAAAAAAAAAAAAAAAAAAAAAAAAAAAAAGATTTTACAGTTACCACATTGTGTTTGGTTAATCCATTTTTTATCTACTATAGTTTCTCGTCCCCTCTATACAAAGAATTAGGGCTAGAGGCTTGACTGGATTCAAGTATTTAAATAAAAAATAGTTTGTAAGGCCGGGCACAGTGGCTCACGCCTGTAATCCCAGCACTTTGGGAGGCCAAGGCAGGTGGATCGCCTGAGGTCAGGAGTTGAGACCAGCCTGGCCAATATGGTGAAACCCTGTCTCTATTAAAAATACAAAAATTAGCCAGGTGTGGTGGCGTGCACCTGTAGTCCTGGCTACTCAAGGCTGAGGCAGGAGAATTGCTTGAACCTGGGAGGCAGAGGTTGCAGTGAGCTATGATCACACTATTGCACTCCAGCCTGAGTGACAGAGTGAGACTCTGTCTCAAAAAACAAAAACAAAATACTTTGTAAATGAAGTTGCGTACTTTCTTTAACCTCAACATTTTGAAAATTGTTTCATAAATGTCCATTTATTCCAGGTCCTAATCCTTGGATAAAACTGATAACATGAGGAATGATTTTGAGATAATGACATGAGACATAGTCCTCTATCACATATCAAGGGTCACACTCCTGGAAATCACTACCATTGAGTAATGAGAGAAGACCACTGAGTATCAGAAATAACCACCATCAAATCTCATGAGGGGTTTTAGGCCAGAGAGGAGACCTCAATTCAGGACCTACTTTATCTTGTTTTACACAGAAGTTTAAGAGCCTTCAGTTCATTTTGACAACCTGTAGAAAATAAGAAACAACCAGCACTTTGGGAGGCCAAAGCAGGTGGATCATGAGGTCGAGATGGAGACCATCCTGGCCAACATGGTGAAACACCATCTCTACTAAAAATACAAAAATTAGCTGAGCATGGAGGCACACACCTGTAGCCTTAGCTATTTGGGAGGCTGAGGCAGGAGAATCACTTGAACCTGGGAGGTGGAGGTTGCAGTGAGCCAAGATTGTGCCACTGAACTCTAACCTGGCGATAGAGTGAGACTCCGTCTCCCCACCTCCAAAAAAAAAAAAAAAAAAAAGATATCTGAAAACATGAAAAGGGATGGATGACAGCTACATGTTCAGGCAGAACACAGAAGAAAATTGAGAAGCAAAAGCAAGAAATAAGGCACAGAATCCAGAATAAGTTGATATGGATGTCAAGAATCTTCCTCTTTGTGAATATAACATGCTTGTCTAGTTACTTGATCTAATTTGATGATCACAGCAACCTTATGAGGTAGGTACTGTTATGTTCTGTATCTTTCAAGTAAAGAAACATTAATACATGTTCCCAAAGTGGCTCAGCTGGGGAGAAATCACAAGGAATGTTGACCAGTTTCTCCATGGTCAAGTACTCGTGGACACTGAGAGAAGAGTGGTTGAGACTCTTCAACTCCTGTCTAAGTAGGCGAGAAACCATGTGGTCCATTTTGAAAAGACTTACACATGAAATAGGAAAAATAAAAAGCTTCTAATTACTTTAAATGGCTTCAAGTTTCTAGAAAACTTATATACATTGACGTACAGGTATGAACGTTTGGAAGTTGGTACTCTTAAAACATTTTACAAACCAGAAAGAGATGTTACTGCAGTAGTTAAATTAATGAATTGGTTTATCTTGAAGTATTACCTGGAAACCCTTCAGTGATATTGATGTTTCCCATTCCCTCTGTTAGCCTGGACTTTTTCTATGGCTTATTTTTTTCTATAGTTCTCTAGATTTTTCTATGAGGCACTTGACTGCCACAGCCAGGAAACTCTTAAGAATCTAATTTTCTGCTCTTCCTCCTCTGTAACTAAAGACTGGATCAGTTAGGACTGGGTTTCACTATCACATCTTGTAGGTGACCATGACTATTCGAGAAATGACCTCTTCATTTGCCTGCTTCTACCAAAAAAAAAAAAATTGGAACCACTAGATTGGATAAATTCTACATGATGAATATCTTAGCCAATTCTTACTGAGGGTTGGGGATCTGGGTGAGGTAAATCCTTCATCATTAAAGGTGACACCTTGGTAGTCCACCCCAACATCACCTTTCCAAAAATGAGCCTTCTGGAATCTACCTGAGAGTCGGGAAATATTGAACTAAGCCAGATGTCACTGACAGGTACATCCAGGACAACAGTTTGGGGCAATTTAATGAAGGGGCAAATAACCCACTACAATTCACCAAGTCCTTAGGCCTTCGGTAAATAATTTTTGATGCTCATAGTGATGACTGAATGACCAGTGTTGGATAAATGCATTCTATGAGGGCAGAGAAACATTTAAGCTAAATAAAACATTTTTGTGATTTAAAGAAATTACCTTCAGCTATCTGGAAAACTTGGCTATCTGACGATGATTCATTTTCTGGTGATTTCAACTAACCAAAGTTTTATTCTACTGTGCTTTTGGAAAAAAAAACAGGACCGGGCATGGTGGCTCATGCCTGTAATCCCAGCACTTTGGAAGGCCGAGGTGAGTGGATCACTTGAGGTGAGGAGTTCAAGACCAGACTGGCCAACATGGTGAAACCCCATCTCTACTAAAAATACAAAAATTAGCTGGGCGTAGTTATGGGCACCTGTAATCTCAGCTACCTGGGAGGCTGAGGCAGGAGAATTGCTTGAACCCAGAAGCAGAGGTTGCAGTGAGTCAAGATCGTGCCATTGCACTCCAGCCTGGGCAACAAGAGCAAAACTCCATGTCAAAAAAAAAAAAAAAAAAAAAATCTGTTTCACTGGCAGAGAAAACTCTGGACCCCATGGACTAGTCTCACCTGGTGTGACATTTCTTCTGTGCTTTTGACAATTTTCATAGCATGTTGATTCTTCATCTCATTCTCAGACATCAGTTAATTAGCTAATCTGGATTTTGATTCACACGTATTAAATACCATCTTTTCTGAGCACACAAAATCCCCCTTATGTGAAATAAATGGCATTATGTCCAAAAGAATGGTGTTAGATCGTCTTTTACTTTGGGGAAAAAAGGAGGTAATTAGTTTGATCTATATTTTTTCATTTGCGAATGTTAATGCCATTTTCACTTCTGAAGGAAAGGTGAATGGCTGTGCCCAGTCACTGAGTCTGGTTTTTGTGGCTCTGACATTATATAAAGGAGTTTGGGGAAATGGAATGGAATTAAAAGGGCCTCAGTTGAATATGTGGGTAAGTAGTGTTCTTAATACTTCAACAAAATTTCAAAGAGTTTGTAATTCATATAGCTTTTCTGAAAGGCTGCCAAGAGGGAGATTTTCAATAGATTGGTGGAATGAGGAATTAAATGCAGATTATTCTGGAAAAGACTAGAATTTAATACAACATTTGAACAGGTTAAATTTATATCAATAAAATACCAGGTGGAGAATGGGACCATTTAATTTCCAGCACACAGAAGACACAACATTTGTAGAAACGATGAACGCAGTGTGGGCTGCTGTTTCCGGCTTCTGTGTTCATTTTCAAAAGCAGCCTGGGAAATTTATGCCGCTCTTTGGAATTTGAGGTAGTGGTAAAGTTGCAGTCAGATGTGATGGATTGTGCAGCCAATTTCTTGAAGTTTGTGGTTCATTAATCCAGCATTTTGAATTTCAAAGGACTGAAGTGATGTCATTTGGGATGTACATCACAGAAAATTAATGGGGTTTCTTGGTCAGAAGTGAATGCTGACACAATGCGACAGGGAAAAAGGGATTGGTGTTGCTAATGGCTGGGGAGCGGGAAGGCCTTGGTTTCCAGTGGGAAAGGCTGCCTTGCCATTCAGAGCCTGCCCAGCCCCCCGCAGGCTCTGAGGGAGTCTTTTCTATGGGTCAGTCCTGCTCCGTCGTGAGAAAACACAAAGTATTGCTTATTCAAGTGTTTCCCAAGAATTCAGCAGTATCTGAAACAGAAGTTTTCATCTATTTAATTCAGTACGGCAGACCTGCGTTGCTCCTTGTGACTCCAGTCCCTGGTCTACCATCCTGTCTGGGAGGTGCTGGCAGGGCTGGGCTGAGATGAGTGGGAGCCCTGCCCATCAGGATGCTGTGTGGATATTGGATGTTTCCCATGCTGGCCTGTGCTGTGAGGCCCAAGGCAGAGTGGTAGAAGAGAGACTGAATCATTGTCAAAGACGCAGGCTGGGAAAGTAGGCTCGGAGGAGGTCCCCGGACAGATCCAATGAAAAAAATGAATGGGAACGGAATGGGGCTTTAGGAAGCTTCCACTCTGCCAGTCTGGGTGCTAGGCGCTATCACAGTTCATTGGCTTGTTATAGTAATTGTCTGTGATATCAATAGAAATACAGTGCTTGATACAAAGCGGTTACTCAACAAATATCTTTTGAATTAAAACAAAATGAAACAAAAAGCAAACCACAGCTGTTCAGCTAGATGATGGTATTATCCTTCTTTTTCAAATGAGGAAACAGATTCAGAGCCTTCCTCAAGACAAAAGAGAGTTCTGTTCTTTGTACTTTGTAAACTGGAAAAACAAAACAAAACAAAAAAAACTCTTCAAATGTTACTTTCCTCACTGCATCACTGAATAAGACCATTTCCTTGCAGCCTTTGCCTCTGGGAGTGCTTGAAACAGTGTAGCAACTTAATACATATTTGGTGATTGAAAGACTCGGTGACCATTGAACAAGAGGGGCTGATGGCATCTTAATGGGACTGTCATCTCACAGCAAGAGAGAGATGAAGATTTATATACATGCACACGATCCACTGTGCAGGGTGAGTCTACTGCACTGTGAAAGAAAGCTGAAGTTTGTTATCTATTTAAAAAAAGTGATGTGAGATTTTGCAAGAATGTTTTCCTCTGGAAATCTCTTTTTTTTTTTTTTTTTTTTTTTTTGAGACAGAGTCTTGTTCTGTTGCCCAGGCTGGAGTGCAGTGGCGTGATCTGGGCTCACTACAAGCTCCACCTTCCGGGTTCACACCATTCTTCTGCCTCAGCCTCCCGGTAGCTGGGACTACAGGCACCTGCCAACCACACCCGGCTAATTTTTGTTGTATTTTTAGTAGAGACAGGGTTTCAACATGTTAGCCAGGATGGTCTCGATCTCCTGACCTCGTGGAAATCTTAACTTTGGCTTAGATGCCTTGAGAACTCCATTGGGACTCAAAATATACTAGCTTTTTTATTGGGTAACTATATAATCTGAAAGTGAAAAATTCTCTGTTTGACAGTGCAGATGGTGGTTCTATTTCATATTAATAGTTGAATCTAATGTGGATAGTAGTTTTTGTTGCCTATATGTTTATTAATATTTGAACTTGATAGCATGTTTTATTGCTTCCCCTAACAGTAACCACTCTTTCACTTTAAATACATCTATGATATTACACCTATATTTCAAGATATAATAAGAGTAAATTTGTTAAAAATAATTCCTAACAGCTTTATGCATTCTTATTTCTACTCCTTACTTTTACTTAGGGTCTGATAGTCCTGGGATCAGCCACTAAAAATTGGTCAATATGCAGCAGCTTTGAGAATCCAGAGAGGGGAAGCTTTGAGAGAGGACCTCAGGCTCCATGTCCCTTCTCTCCTGGTCCCTTGTTCCTCTAGGTGGAGAAGATCCAGGTTTTCCCTCCCCATGTTGGAGTCTCATTTCCCGACTGGAGCTGGGCTCCTCATTGGTACTGAGAGGGTAGAAATTCACCTGGAGTAGAAAGTCTCTGTATGTTTTTCACAAACAAAACTTTTATTATGGAAACTTTCAAAGACATAAAACATAGAGAGTAACTTTATGAATCTCTGCATCTCCTTACCCAGATCCAATGATTATCATCATTGTGCCCATCTTGTTTATCTCTTGCCCTCCCTTATTTTCTGGACTATTTAAAGCAAATCCTTTATTTCACCAGTAAATAGTAATTATCACACCCAAAACAACTCATGGTAGTTTCCTTAACAGCATCTAATATACTGCCCATGTTAAAATTTTCCTGATTGTTTTAAAGATGTCTTCTTTGGTTGGCTTGTTTGAATTAAGATCCAATTACTGAAGGTTTTTCCTGAAGCACAGACACCTCCCTGATCCTATCTCAGGGATCTTTCAATGTTGTGAGACCAGAACCAAGGCAACTAAGACACACTTAGGCTGCAAGGGATTATGATTCTGTCTTCTATGTGGCACCATGGGGAGGGGGAGTTAACCAGGAAAGACTAACTTGACCTGTTTGGCTGCCCTGGAACAGGGTCCTGAATAGACCAGCCACAGTTCTAAAGAGGCAGAGATACCTGGTTCTTACTTCTAGAAGTGGTCTGTTCCAGGCCATCCCATTCTGTAGCTGCACAGACATCAGTGAAATTCTCTGGGGCTTTGTGGGAAATGCAGTCGTTTCAGGAGATCCACCCTAAGAAGGCAGCAAAACATCACGTCTTGTGGAATGGGGAGGATGGTACTAGCACCCGAGTCAATTAGCTGTGTCTGTAGGAAAAGGAGTAGTTGGCGAAGAATTAAAGAGCAGAAATGGAAGTGAGGGAAAGGACTCATCCCCAGATGGAGGGAAGAAAATGTATGTGGCTAGTTCAACTCTTTGAAGACATTTAAATATTGAGTGTGTTTGGACATATGACTATTTGGCTCATAAGGTAGAAGCCCAATAGTGGGATCTGGCTATTGGATCCCAGTTCGGGAAACATGACTTAATTGACATTTCCATTGGGTGGGAAAAGTAGGAAGGTGGTAATCTGCATATCCCTTGCCCCTGCTGAGACTGGCCTGGGAACCTGTGTGAGCCTTAGGGGAAGGAGTTCTAATCACAGCATAGCCATTTTGGTGTGGTTGATATAGGTGTTTTCAGTATAGAAATATGTATTCCAAATGCTGTGTCACTAATCCAAAAGAATTAGGTATTTTCTCCTCAAATATTTACATCAATATTCTTTTTTTTTTTTTTTTTCCTTTTTTGAAGATGGACTCTTGCTCTGTCACCCAGGCTGGAGTTCAGTGGTGCGACCTCAGCTCACTGCAACCTCTGCCTCCTGGGTTCAAGAAATTCTGTCTCAGCCTCCCGAGTAGCTGGGACTACAGGCACACGCTGCCACGCCCAGCTAATTTTTTGTATTTTAATAGAGATGAGGTTTCACCGTGTTGCCCAGGCTGGTCTCGAACTCCTGAGCTCAGGCAATCCACCCGCTTTGGCCTCCCAAAGTGCTAGGATTATAGGCATGAGCCACTGTGCCCAGCCAATATTCTTTATATTACTGATAGTATAAGCAATATCACCAACTGTAGTAATAATAAAAGCAGCATTTGAATAGTATTTCATAGCTTTCAAAACATTTTCACATTTATTTTATTTTCACACACACCCTGGCCATTTAAAATTGGGTGATGTTTACTGAGCTCTTACTGCATGCCATAATCTGTATTGGGTGCTTTCTATACTTTAGTAATCCTCTCTACCTATACCTTCTTTAAGGAGTTTTGTCTCTAAAATCCTTTACTTGTTGTATCAGACAGGGTTCACTCAAAGACTCATGAACATAATTTTATATGGAATTCCAATTTCATTGGGAATTAGTTTATGAAATTATAGATGCTGCCTAAGTGGTCTCTGCAAGGCTGTCTCTCAGCCTAATGCTAGAGCTTGAAGTCTCCAGGCAGATTGGTCAGAAGAGGAAGATCACATGCAGGCTGGAACCTCATAAGTACAAACAGAATCCCATGTCTGTTCTTGTTGCCTCTGACCTTGGTAATGAGGGTATCTTGTGGAAGCCACAAGGGTATCTCTTGTAGTCCACCCTGAAAGGAAACATACAAGAAAAAGGAATTCTGGGAAATGAAGTCCAGCTTTAGTAGGCACATTACAAACCATCACATCTGTTCTGTTCTAAGATGTGCTAGAGGAGAGGGTGGTTTGGTGTGCAGAGCGGGGGTCAGGGGAGGCAGGGTTTGACAGGCAGTGGTGGGGGTTGGGGGGAGGTGGGTGTTGATCTGCAGCACTCAGAGAAAGTAAACTAGATATTAGTGACCACATGAATTCTTCCGTTACTAGAAACTTCACGTAGGAGGGCTTATTCAACTAACCACTTGATGCATTCAGCTAAATTTTGCATGAAATGGAGCAGCAGGTTTTACAAGGAAATAATTAGCAGGCAAACATGGATTGCTGACCTGCTTATGCTGAAAGGTCATTCATGTGTTCAGCAGCTATTTGTTGGCTCTGTGGTGGTGTCTCTCTGTTCCTCTGGCTCTTCAGAGTTCTTTTGGCATCCCAGTTGTAGGAAGCTGATTGTCATACACCCCTTATCCCAGCAGGCCCTTGCTTGGCAGACTGTTTGCCTCAACCAGGTGGGCGCCTTGTCTGTCATGTCATCTGTTCTCAACCAAGTGGACACTTGGTTGCTGAAAATGTCTTTCTTAGCCGATTGGGGCTCAGGTAAAGAGCATAAGTAGGCCAGTCCAAGTCTCATTTATTTAGAATCATCCCCCAAGAACGTGGAACTACAGTTATC
This sequence comes from Homo sapiens, assembly GCF_000001405.40. Lineage (NCBI taxonomy): Eukaryota > Metazoa > Chordata > Mammalia > Primates > Hominidae > Homo > Homo sapiens. The sequence continues at coordinate 85,910,667 of NC_000015.10, forward strand.
TGCTCTTTGGGAGCCTGTTGCTACATACTCTGCAGGGCCAGGGGAAAGAGCTTAGGTGCTGTGGGTCTGAGGATCACATGTGAGCAGGAGCTGACATGCCCTCCTCTGTCTGGGCTGGGATAGGTGACTTGGAGCCACCTTTGAAATCAAGAACAAAGAATAAAACACGCAGCAGGTGTCCAGACAATCCCTGGAAACAAATTCAGGGCCGTTTGGATGAGCAGAGTCTGTTACACAGCCTAGGAAGCTAATCTGCATGCCGTACCTTCAGGGCAAACTGCAGCTCAGAGCACTGGGAGTAAGATCATAGGCCCTGCCAACAAGCCTCATGTGCGGAGCTCTGACATCAGTGTTTCCTGGGAATTTCTTGCCATTAATAACCTTTGTGCTTTGATATTTGCTTAACGAGAAAGAAAGCTCTGTATTCAGTGGAGAAGCTGGCTTCCCAGACTGGGAAGTGTTGCTCAGGCAGGCCAACTTAAAGGCAGTGCTGATTTTGTCTAGGGCTGCAATTAGCATAATCCACTTTGCTGGCAGACTTACTCATTGGCCAGAGGTGGGTGATGATTTTCTTCTTTCTTTTTTTTTTTTTAATTATACTTTAAGTTCTAAGGTACATGTGCACAACCTGCAGGTTTGTTACATATGTATACATGTGCCATATTGGTGTGCTGCACCCATTAACTCGTCATTTACATTAGGTATATCTCCTAATGCTATCCCTCCCCCCTCCCCCCACCCCATGACAGGCCCTGGTGTGTGATGTTCCCCTTCCTGTGTCCAAGTGTTCTCATTGTTCAACTCCCACCTCTGAGTGAGATTTCTAAACTTTTTACCTAAATAAATCCAGATAACTTTATCTGATGTCTCACTCTCTGTCTCTGTCACAGAAGGTAGGGGTGACTCTCAGAAGTTCAGACAAGTATGCTGAAACTTGTTGTCCAGGAAGGGTAAGCTCCAGGCCTAGCTGGGGCTCTCAGAGGCAAAGATTTCATCTTTTAAAAAAAGTCAATTTCTTCTGAGAGGATTTAGTAAGTTATTCTATTCCATATCATTAAACTAATCAAGTTATGGCTCCTGGGCACCTAGAATTCCCATTGAATACCAGTGGGGACATTTGAGAGAATGATTTCTTTTTAAGGGGTTTGGGCAGTGGTGCTCTTCCAGCTCACTGGAGTCAGCTCCTGTGTAGTCAAAGACAGATGACCTCGCTTGAGGATTTTATAGCTCTTGGTGGTTTTAGATGCCTTTACTGCATATGAGCAAGCCCACCTCCCCACGAAGCAAAGATATTCCAATCTGGTAAGTCAGATTTGCTCTAAAGAGAAGTGTACACATGTGTGTATGTGTGTGCATGGAATAAATTGGTTGTTTTTTTCCCCAATCAGTAGGACAGAGTAGAACCTGGGTGTATGGTATATGGTGCTTTTAAGACCTGCAGAAGCATGCCACAAAAAGACACAGCAAAATGTACTCAAAGAGATACATCTGTGTGGATTGGCCTTCTCATTCTGCCAGCCCTAGAGATTCCGATATGAGATGTGCTTCTAAAGTGTGTTTTGTGAGGCCACCCCAGCAGAGGGCTTTGGCAGAAGAGCCCTTGAATGTGGATCAGGAATGCATTTCCCTCCCGTTCACGGAGTACAGTTCTCCCTTGGTATCATTTGGGGACTAGGTTCAGGATCCCCATGGATACCAAAATCCACAGATGCTCAAGTACCTGATATAAATGGCATAGGATTTGCATAACCTATGCACATCCTCCTGTTTACTTTAAATCACCTCAAGATTACCCAATACAACGAAAATGCTATGTGAATAGTTATTTTACAATTTGTATTTTTTTTTTGTGGTTGCATTGTTATTTTAGAGACAAGGTCTTGCTCTGTCACCCAGGCTGGAGTGCAGTGGGGTGATTATAGCTCACTGCATCCTTGAACTCTTGAGCTCAAGTCATCTTTCCACCTTAGCCTCCCAAGTATCTGGGACAACAGGTGCATACCACTACACTGAACTAATATTTTAAAGTTTTTTAGAGATGGGAATCTCATTAGTTTCCCAGGCTGGTCTTCAACTCCTGGGCTCAAGTGATACTCCTGCCTCAGTCTCCCAAGTACTGGCTCTTGCATTGTCATTTATTATTTTTTCCAAATATTTTTGATTTGTTTTTGGTTGAATTCATGGATGAGAATCGGCAGATATGGAGTGCGGCTGTATAGGTGGTGTGTCCTTCCCTCTGTCTTTCTCTGGGATATGGATTTTATCTCCTCTTTCCAGTGTCTGTCCTTTGTCTTCCCCCCATCTCTGGATGTGCTACTCTCATTTCTGCCCTGATAGCTCCAAATCCTACCATTTTGCTTTGATTGAGGTCAAGATAGAACATTGACACTTTCTCTTTTTTTTTTGTGGAGAACCAACTTCTTTGTATCTTCCTCTCTCTCGCCCTTCTTCCCTTCCTTTCCTTCCATAAATCTTTATTGAATCCCAAGAACTGTGACAACCACAGGACCAGAATTTCAAGTTATAACATGGCTTGCACTTCGAGGAGTTCATAATATCGTAGGTTTGACATCCACTTATATTCAGTTTAACAGCTTGTTATATGCATCCAATCATGTAATTCTCTTATTTTGTATATTTAAACTCCATCAGCAACAGGATTTCTATGTCCTCATAAGTGGAGACCACAGCCCCTTGGTTTGCAACAGTGTCTGTCTTAGTGTTGTGCTTAGTGGCGCAGATGAGTTTTCTCATCTATAAAATGGAGATAAGACCACTACTTCCCAGTCCTGTGGTGAGCTTTAAGTTACATGATGTCTCTAAGTGCACAGCCCAGGGCATGGCCCAGAGTAGGTCTCAGTAAGCAGTAACTATTATGATTACTGTGGTTAGAGCAGCTTGGTAAATAATCATTCAACTCATTTGAAATGTGTCGACTTGACAGATGGGCAGGAACAGGAGGTGAAATTCAAACCCGTTGACTTAGTAAAATAGATCCAAAATCAGATAACAGCAGAGATATCCTTATGCTGCTTTCATTCTGCTGTAAATTGGAGTTCTTATGCAAAGCTAACTTTTTAGGAGAACATGCAGAATTATAAAATCTGCCAGGCAACAGCAGGCTCAACCTGAAGTTGGATTTACTGAGATATGGTCCTATATGCTATGACACACATGTGACTTTATTTATTTATTTATTTATTTGAGATGGAATCTTGCTCTGTTGCCCAGGCTGGAGTGCAATGGTGCGATCTTGGCTCACTGCAACCCCCGCCTCCTGGGTTCAAGCGATTCTCCTGCCTCAGCCTCCTTGAGTTGCTGAGGTTACAGGTGCCCAGCTAATTTTATTTTTTTTTGGATTTTTTTTTGTAGAGACAGGGTTTCACCATGTTGGCCAGGCTGTTCTTGAACTTCTGACCAGTGATCCGCTTGCCTCGGCCTCCCAAAGCGCTGGGAGTACAGGCGTGAGCCACCACGACCAGCTGTGACTTGCATTATCATGGGAGTAATGATAAAGGTAGAGTGATACATTCACAAAGTAGACGCTCCTTTTACACCGACTGTATTAGTTTGTTAGGACTGCGGTAACAGAGTTCCACAAACTGGGCAGCTTAAACAACAGAAATTTATTGCCTCATGGTTCTGCAGACTCTAGGGGTCCAAAACCCAGGTCAGGATGGGTTTCTTCAAAGGCTGTTGAGGACAGCGTGTATTCCAGATCTCTCTCCTTGGCTTATAGAAGGCCATCTTCTCCCTGTGTCTCTTTACACCTTCTTCCTTCTATTCATGTGTCTGAGTCCAAATTTGTCCTTGTTTTAAAGACACCAGCCATGGTGGATTAGGTTCCATTCTAATGATCTCATTTTAACTTGATTACCTCTGTAGAGACCCTATGTCCAAATAAGGTGACATTCTGAAGATACTGGGGTTTAGGACTTCAACACGTGAATTTTGGTGGGATGCGATTCAACTCGTAACACAGATCCAGATGAGCTATTATTCCCCCTTTTTTAGAGAAGGGGAACAGAAGCCTAGAGAGCTTTTGGGGGTGGCCTGGTTAATCAGTGGAGGACTGGGAATGGACCTTAGATTCTTGCTGCACTTTGCAGGTCACTGAGCTTTGTCAGAATCTAGGTGTGTGATGTAGCAGTGTTTACCCCAGTCCAGGTGGGATGCTTGGCTCTCGGGTAACATTTCAAGTGGACAAGTCACTTAGATTGAAATGAGGGTCTTTTTCTCCTTCTCGTGTAACAGCTCTTAATATGATGGTGGTGGAATTTCTACACCAGAATCTGCTACCGATAGTAACAGTTACAACCACCGTCCCCACGACTTACATCTGCTCAGTACTTTGTAATTCTCCAAGTTGATATGTATTACCATTTTTATTTCTTTTTTGTAGATGGGGTCTTGCTATGTTGCCCAACTCCTGGTCTTAAGTGATCCTCCTACCTCAGCCTCTCATGTAGCTTGGACTATAGGTACACACCACGATGCACAGCTGTGCATTACCATTTTTGACCTTCGGAAAATCCTATGGGGTATACACAAATTTATAACTCCTTTGTACGCTTTTGGGGCCAAATGTACTTCAGAATTCAGAACCCTGTGGACTTGAGAAAAGTAATGATAGTTTATGTTGTGTATATTACATAACATCCCTGTAGGGTCTGGGGCAGCTTTGAAATCCAACAGCAAAATATCTTCATATTCACGCAAAGCTAGATAAATAAAGATAAGTGATAACTTCTTGTCTATTTGGGTCAGATTTTGTTGCTGATGAGTTTTGAAAAACTTTTGAGTTTTGGAGTTTTTGAATTCCAGATGTGTGGCTGAGGGATTACAGGCCTGTTTTCACGATTGTCTCTGTTTCTAGAGGACAAGAAGTCAGGCACCCACCTAGAGAGAGGGATGAACTGGACTGGGTGAGCCCAGTGCTTAGCCAAGGAAACCTGTGGAAGCCCAAAGCCCTGACCTGGCAGCTGCCTGTCAGGAGAGGGTGGATGGTGGAACATTGTTCAAGGAGAATTTGGGCACTAGTGCTGGGTCCCCAGTGACTCACTGGTCAGGGCCTCTGGCTGCATTGTTTAGCCTCTTTGTAGCTCAGCCTGCAGTTTGGCTATAATATGCCTACTCATGTTGGTGTAGAGAGAATGCATCAAGCTAAGAGGTAACGGGAGGAGTGAGTCCAGGTTTTGGGGTATCTGAAGCTTGTAAGATTTGGGGTGCCCTTTCATAAAAAAGAATACAAAATCACAAACATAAAAATTTGATAAAAAGTAAATTTTTCTTTAGATTAAGGAATCACAACAGCTTACAAATTTACAAAAAACTCCCAAATAAATTGGGATGGGAGTGCATATGTGGGAGGATATGGGGACTTTGTAATTTCTGCTCAATTTTTCTGTAAACCTAAAACCATGCAAAAACAACCCACAAAAACAAACCCCAGAGTTGTCCAGGTGCAGTGGCTCACACCTGTAATCCCAGGACTTGGGGAGGCTGAGGCGGGTGGGTCACTTGAGGTCAGGAGTTCGAGACCAGTCTGGACAATGTGGTGAAACCCCGTCTCTACTAAAAATACAAAAATTAGCCAGGAGTGGTGGCAAGTGCTTGTAACCCCAGGTACTCAGGAGGCTAAGGCTAGAGAATTGCTTGAACCTGGGAGGCAGAGGTTGCAGTGAGCTGAGATCACACCACTGCACTGCAGCCTGGGTGACAGAGCGAGACTGCATCTGGGGGAAAAAAAACCCACAAAAACCCCAGAGTCTATTAATTTTAAGAAAAGTTACCAAATAACTCAGCATACAAACCAGAAAAGAAACATAATTTGTTCATTAACTACCTGCAAATTTGTCTAGTATACCTTTTCATCCTACAAGTTTTTGGCTGTGCATTCTTTGATTTCCTTTTCACATGACAATGATTTTTTGATACTGTTGTAGAAAGAGTATAAAAATCACACATAAAGATGATTCAGCATTCCCTCTAGCATGATTGATCAATTTTTTTTTTGTTATTGAGAGCTTAGTAAAAGATCCTTTTTGCTTTGCAATTCTTCACTGGCAATATCATGTAAATTTTCAGGATGGCTCACAAATTTGAGACACCTTTGCCAAGCTTTTGCCACCTATGAGCCTTTCTTCAGCCTCCGTTCAGCCTCTGGAGCACAGTCTCCAAGGGGAGAGAAGAGCCCCATGTGCCCATGGCAGATGAGAGTTCTGAGCAGCCTGGTGGGTGGCTATAAAATTCCTACTTCATGTAACCACTGAGAATGGATTAGATTTAGTCCAGTTTTCACAATAAGACTTTTCTTTCCAAAACCTTGGTGCTGTTTACCTCTTCACTATAGGATCAGGCTTCCCTGGTCTCTAGAGCAATTCTTAGAAGGAATTTTAGCAGCTCTGTCCTCCCAAAGCTTTGGTTCTCATTTTAGACTTCTAGACCACTCTTGTCCTGCTAGCTGAACCTCTGTTGGATCTGGGTAGCATGCCTAACACCCCAGCTCCTTAGAAGCGAGGCATTGGCCCCTAACCCCTCCCTCTCAGTGGATTCCAACCACCTGGATGCCCTCTTTATCCTGCCTGCCAGAATCTCTGAATAGCGCATCTCCCTCTCAAATATGAGCTCCCCGATGACAGAGGTGCATTTTTTTTCACATTTATGACTCATCATAGTGTCTGGCATGAAATTGGGACTTGAAAAACCAGGGAGAATGAATGAATAAATGAATAAATGAATGAGACATGGAGGGCTGGGTTACCTTTATTGTCAAAGGTCATCTGAGAGTCCTCAGAGCAATATCCATATATGCTTCTCAGCTTCGTAGGGGGATTTGAGGGCTGAGGGTGGAGTGTGTGGAGCATCTCTGTGGTTGTTTGCCAGGGCTACTGTAATGAAGTACTACAAACTGGGTGGCTTAAACAAGATAAATTTATTATCCCACAGTTCTGGAGGCTGGAAGTCCAAAATCAAGGCATCAGCAGGGTCATACTCCATCTAAAACCTACTTGGGAATCTTTTCTTGCTTCTTCCTAGTTTTTGTTGCATTTCCAGCAAATCATTGGTGTTTCTTGGTGCTTTGGTTTGAATGTTTTTGTTTCTTCCAAAATTCATGTTGAAAGTTAATCCCCAGTGCAACAGTATTGGAAAGTGTGGCCTTTCGGATGTGACTGATATGGTTTGGCTGTGTCCCCACCCAAGTCTCATCTTGAATTCCCACGTGTTGTGGGAGGGACCCAGTGGGAGGTAATTGAATCATGGGGGCAAGTTTTTCCCGTGCTGTTCTCATGATAGTGAATAAGCCTCATGAGATCTGATGGTTTTAAAAAGAAGAGCTCCCCTGCACAAGTTCTCTCTTTGCCTGCTGCCATCCATGTAAGATGTGACTTACTCCTCCTTGCCTCCCACAATGATTGTGAGGCTTCCCCAGCCATGTGGAACTGTAACTCCATTAAACCTCTTTCTTTTGTAAATTGCCCCATCACAGGTATGTCCTTAGCAGCAGTGTGAAAATGGACTAATACAGTGACTGACTGAATCTCATCCTCATGAATGAGATTAGGTGTCTTATAAAAGGGCTTGAAGGAGGGAATTTTTCCCCTCTTACCCCTCTGCCTTCTGCTACATGAGGACACAGAATTCCTCCCCTCTGGACGGTGCAGTATGTACAGTGCCATCTTGAAAGCAGAGTCCAGACCTTTACCAGAAACCAACCTGCCGGCACCTTGATCTTGGACTTCCCTGCTTCCAGAACTGTGAGAAATAAATGTCTGTTCTTTGTAAATTATTTAGCCTGTGGTAGTCTCTTATAGCAGCACAATGGACTAAGACCCTTAGCTTGTAGATACATCACTCCAATCCTTTGTCTTCATGTGGCATTCTCCCTGTCTCTTCCCTTTGTGTGTTTCTTCCTCTCGTCAGCTTCCCTTTGAGTGTTTCTGTGTCCATGTTTCCTCTTTGTATAACAACATCAATCTTGTCACATGAGAACTGACCCAAGCAACCTCATCTTCGCTTGGTTAAATCTACAAAGACCCTATTTCCAAATGAGGTCACATTCTGAAGTACCAGGGTTGGAACTTCACATCTTATTTTGGGGAGCAAAATTCATGCCATACCAATCCTCAGAAGCTTTTATCTGAATGTTTTGGACATTTCCATGACTCTCATGGGATGAAGTGGGGATGCGGTGTTCTCATGGGCAGAGGAGCAAGGATGCTGGATGGCATTTCTCAATACCATATCAGCTAAGGCATGGGTTAGTGCTTGTGCAGTGAATGCAAGAAAGCAAAAAAGAGGATGAAAGAATGAATGAGCCCCTTCTGTGGTGTGCTGTTCTCTGGAGATCTCCTGGTGACTTCAGCTTGAAGGCTCAGTGCTATGATCCTGCCTGGATAGATTGTCTCCAGATGCTTTGGATATGATGCCGCCAGACTGGACTCTCTTGACATTACAACTGGGAACCAGACAGACCTGTTTGTTCAAATCCTGGCTCTACTATCTTACAATTATAAAATATAGGTCAGATTCCTCAACCTCGAGGAATCTGTCTTTCTTTGTTGACAATAAGAATGGCAATAATCTTTTTTTTTTTTTTTTTTTTTTTTTTTTTTTTTTTTGAGGCAGGGTCTGGCTCTGTCACCCAGGTGGGGGAGTACCATGGCACAATCATGGCTTATTGCAGCCTTGACCTTCTGGGCTCAAGTGATCCTCCTGCCTCATTTTTTGAATTTTTGTACAGATGAGGTCTTATTGTGTTGCTCAGGCCGGTTCAAGTGATCCTCCCATCTTGGCCTCCCAAAGTGCTGGGATTACAGGCGTGAACCACTGTGCCTGGCCAGGAATAATAATCTCATAGAATTGTTAAGCACTAAATGTGATCATATATAATGCACATGGCTCTGGGCTGACGGATAGTAAATGCCCAGTAATGATGATCAGTTTATTTTTATTGTCACATCTGGCTTTGTCTCGTCCATGGCTGCCCTCCCCTAGCTGGTTGATTTTGTTTGATCCTTTCCTTGCTGCCCCTTCCTCCCAGCTGTGGTGGTTTATCAGGCTGTGCCTGGCTCCTCCCAGAACTAAGGTTGCCCAGTCCCAGGTTAGGTGCAAATGCTAGGAAGCCTGCCTTCTGGGCTAGATCTTCAGTTAGGTGGCTCTGTAGACTAACCTGTATATCTTTTCTATGCCCTAAGTTTCTTCATTTGTAAAATAAAAATTTGTTGGCCTAGTAGTGTATTTGGTTCCCATTAGTCTATGTAGTTTTGTGTCCCTATAAAGACAATAACAATTATTAATGAGTATAGAAACGTTTTTATTTTTAGTTGTTACTGGCACTGAAATATAGTGTTAAAGACCTGGAATGAAGAGCAATATAAGAAATTGAGGGGGGTGTGGATCATCTGAGGTCAGGAGTTCAAGACCAGCCTGGCCAACATGGTGAAACCCCATCTCTATAAAAATACAAAAACTAGCCGGGCATGATGGTGGGTGCCTGTAATCCCAGCTCCTTGGGAGGCAGAGGCAGGAGAATCTCTTGAATCTGAGAGGCAGAGGTTGCAGTGAGCCGAGATTGTGCCATTGCATCCCAGCCTGGGCAACAGGGTGAGACTCTGTCCCCCACCCCCAACCCCCCCGCCCCCCCAAAAATCATGGATTAGAGCATACTCCAGAGGAAAGGGAGCTAACAGTGCCGGAGACCCTGTTATGTTTCATGTACTTTGTTGTATGCTGTGTAATACGGTTTGGCTGTGCCTGCACCCAAATCTCATCTTGAATTGTAGCTCCTATAATCCCCACGTGTCATGGGAGGGACCTGGTGGGAGGTAATTGAATCATTGGGGCAGGTTTTTTTCTGTGCTGTTCTCATGATGGTAAGTCTCACGAGATCTAATGTTTTTGTAAAGGGGAGTTCCCCTGTACATGCTCTTCTTGCCTACTACCATGTAAGACGTGCCTTTGCTTCTCTGCCTTCTGCCATGACTGTGAGACCTTCCGAGCCATGTGGAACTGCGAGTCAATTAAACCTCTTTTTCTTTATAAATTATGCAGTCTTGGGTATTTCTTCATAGCAGTATGAGAACGGACTAATGCACCGTGTGTACAATAGCATGTCACATCCATGCCAAAACCTCCAAGGAAGGAGGTGTAACTCCCATTATGAGGGCAGGAAACTGAGGTCTAGAGAAGGTACATAGCTCACAAAAGGTTTCAGTCCTGGTGAGTGGGAAAGCCAGCATTTGAACCTGGGATATCTGACATTCAGGTCTCTGGAAGAGCTGCTGGATCCTGGAAGAACTGAGAACAGCCACATGCTTGCTGTGCACAAGGTGGGAGCTGCCTTGGGCTTGAGCAGTGTCCTGTTGAAAAAAGTTCTTGTGGAAGCAACAGGCCATGACTAAACAGCCACAGACCCTCTGGCCTGCCAAGCAAGCCTGCACGGGAAAACGAGCTTTTAAGAAGATAATGAACTGGGCCTTGCAGGGGAGTTAGCAGGCAGCGGGCGGAAAATGTCCTTGTGCAGATTTAGTCAGCTTCAATGCCCCTTGCAGCCTGTTTCTGCTGGTGAGGCAAGTGCCTCACATTCAGGAAGAAATATCCATTTTCCTCCAGCCCAGAACCCTGGGAGTAATTACGGCCATTCAGTGAGGTTCCCAGGCTATTTCCTTTAAGTATTTATACCAAGCAGGTGCTTGTTGCTCATGAACTCCCTTTCTCTCAAAAGGGCATTAAAATGGAACACTTCTACACTGCGGATGGGAATGTAAACCAGTACAGCTGCTATGGAAAACAGTGTGGAGATTCCTTAAAGAACTAAAAGTAGAACTACCGTTTGATCCAGCAATCCCACTACTGGATATCTACCCAGAGGAAAAGAATCATTATTCAAAAAAAGATACTTGCACATGCATGTTTATAGTAGCACAATTCACAATAGCAAAATCGTGGAACCAACCCAAATGCCCATCAATGAGTAGATAAACTATGGTGTATATGATGGAATACTACTCAGCCATAAAAAGGAATGAATTACCAGCATTTGCAATGACCTGGATGAGATTAGTGACTATTATTCTAAGTGAAGTACCTCAGGAATGGAAAACCAAACATTATATGTTCTCACTGGTATGTGGAGGCTAAGCTATGAGGATGCAAAGGCATAAGAAAGATACAATGGACTTGGCGGAAGAGTAGGAGGGGGGTGAGGGATAAAAGACAAAAATACGGTGCAGTGTATACTGCTCGGGTGATGGGTGCACCAGGATCTCACAAATCACTAAAGAACTTATGTAACCAAATACCACCTCTACCCCCAATAACTTATGGAAAAATAAAAAAATAGAACTTCACTCTTTTCAGTTGAAATCCTACGACAGTAAGGGCCAACTCCTCCTACACTGCAGACTCCTACACTGCTAGAGGACTTGAAAATGTGGTTGAAAACTGTTTTTAGAACCCTAAACCTTTGTCCACTGGAGGGTATTAAAAGGCCAATAAAGAGAGGACATAAAAAATTGCGACAGTGGAGATGGGCAGTTGGAAGCTGGAGAATTTCTTTGGAAAGAGCTGTGCTGTGATCCTTGTCCTTGATGGAAGAGGAGCAAAGGATACTTTCTGACCCTAAGTCTATTGAGAGGGATGTTCATGGGAATACTCGCAGATCTTGGTATACCTCCTCTGGTTCTTGAAACCCACAGTGGACTGATACCTAACTTATCCTGGGGAATCTGCAGAACTAAAGCTGTGGCTGGAGCTGCCTGAAGGTGACTCAGTGAACAGAAGCTGCCTTTGGGAAGTCATTCCACTCCCAATGACTGAGGTCAGAGAAGAGTATTTCCTGTGGATGAGAGAGCGAGAGTGCGCTGATAAGGTGTTGTCACCCAGAGAGGTGAGAAGATCTTGGAAGAAAGTCTGAAGATATCCCATGGTGATCCTCAGGAGTCAAGCAGAGAATTGTAAGTGACTAGCCAGAAGATGCATTTGCCCACATCAAAGGCACTGGAGCATCTTTAAGCAGGACCTTTATAATGACTTACATGGGTGTGGACCTTACTAAAGACCAGACGTTGTTCTAACACTCATTTAATCCTGACCGCAATGCCATGAAGCAGACATTATTATCACCTCCATTTTACAGATGGGGAAACTGAGGCATAAAGCAGTCAAGCAACTTGCCCAAGGTCACACAAGTAGAAAGAAAGTGATGGAGCTGGGATTTGAACCCTGGCAGATTGGTTCCAGAATTCACACTTTTAATCAATGCACCGCTAGCAGCAAAGCTATTACACGGTTCTGTGGAGGAAAGATGTTCAATGTCTCTCCCAGAACTCTGCTAAGGAAGTGAGGATTCTGGAAAAACTCATCCAGGCCCCAGTCTTCTCTCAGAATCCACCCAGAGGCAGTGCACTGAGTCCCTGACTTGCCCTTCACTTGGCAACAACTGCCCTATCCTCTTGGTGCATTTTCCCAAAGGCCTGTGCTGGGAAGGCTGTCATCATTCCTCCTGGCCAATCCCAGACTCAGGTGTCTGGAGACCTTGGCCCAAGTCCCAGATGCTTCTTCATAGGCCCCTCCAACCATTGCAAACAGGAGCACTGGCATAAGCCCACTCCCAGAAACAGCCTCTGGGCATTTTTTTTTTTTTTTTTTGAGACAGAGTCTTGCTCTGTCACTCAGGCTGGAGTTCAGTCGTGCGATCTTGGCTCACGGCAACCTCCACCTCCTGGGTTCAAGCAATTCTGCCTCAGCCTCCCAAGTAGCTGGGATTATAGGTGTATGACACTACGCCTGACTAGTTTTTGTATTTTTAGTAGAGATGAGGTTTCATTCACCATACTGGCCAGGCTGGTCTTGGAACTCCTAACCCCAAATGATCCATTCACTTCAGCCTCCCAAAGTGCTAGGATTACAGGGATGAACTACTGCACCTGGCCGCTGGGCATTCTTTAGTTTCCTGAGGGAAAAGTTACAGGTTCAAGGATAATGCTTTTTGTTGGAAAAGTTAGCTGGAGAGGCTCTTAGGATCTTGTTATCGATCTTTTTTTCCACTGAGCCCTCTACAGCTTGAGGCAAGAGACAGCTGTGGTGTAGGGGGAAGACATCAGATCTGAAGTGAGATGACCTGGGAGGTCCTGGTCAACCTACCTGTTCCTGGGCTTTGTACCTGGGGGAATAAGCTCTTCAAGTGTAGGCAGAAATACTCCTTGTCCCCCACTTCCCTGGCCCCCACCATGCTGTGTGATGCTCTCTTGCTGTTAGAGATCCTTTGAAAAAGGAGGCCCTTAATGAAAATATTTTTTGAGAAGATGCAAAACTTTAAAAAGTATATATATACACAAATAGGTACACACATATACATATATACAAAATATAAACAAATATTTGTATATCAAAATTTGTATTTGTGTATATCTGCATGCGTGTATATGTGTCTATATACACTCTATCACCTTGCAGGATAGATAGCAGAGAAATAGAGAATTTAAAGTCATGAAGGGCCCTAGAGATTGTATTCCAACCTCCTGATTTAATAAGTTAGAAAACCAGAGCTGAGAGATGCTAAGTGATTTGCCCAGCATTGCACAACCAGGTAGTGGTGGAGCTGGACTGGCCCCAGGTCTCCTGACTCCCAGTATGCTGTTCCCCGCCACTCACTGCAGCTTCCATTTCCTGAGCACGGAGTGTGTGCCTGGCATGGTGCTAGGCACTTCTCTCATATTGCCTTAGTCAGCTTCTGTTTTAAAGGTTAAGGATACTGAGGGGCAGAATGGTTAAGGGACCTAGTCACACAATCGTCTTTGGTAGAATGTTCAGGTTTTTCTAATTCTAAAGTCTGACCTCTTCTCTAGGATATGCAAAGTTACCCCTTGTGTGCCAGCCCAGCTCCAATTGGTTGGTAGTGGCTGCATGGAGTGCTTTGGGGACTGGGCTGAATTGAAGATGGGCTTCAGTCTCTTTGAGCCTGATCTGTATCAAGTTCACCTGACTCCTAATAGGGAGCCCCATGGAGCTCTCAATGAAAAGCCTGAGTTGCTTACCAGAGCCTTTCCTTTTCAATGAACTCTGAACTCCAACTTTTGTCCTTTGAAGACCTTAATATGCCTAAGTTTTGTTCGGTCTTTTGGTCTCCTGTCATTGCATTGTAATTGGCAAATGCCTTGAGCAAGAAGTAGTCTCAAATGATGGCTCACCTCTGTGCATCTCTTCCCTCTTGGCTTTTGGTCCCTCAAGTCCTTGCTGCCTCAGCAGCTCTCTGATGCCTTCAAACAGATCTTATACACATCTTTTGTTCAGTTACTCTAGTTGTTTCCAGCAGGATGTTCAGTATGCTATGTCATGATCCACATTTACCAGAAGCAGAAATTCCCTCTATTAGGATGTAAAGAAACCAAACCTGGAATTTCAACCTTAACTTGAGTTACTTGACAAATTAACTTCTCCCTAGATGCTCTTCCTTAAACTAGGCTATGCCTCTGAAACCTCTCCTGATTGCAGCCAGATTACACTGGCAGCTTGGTGATGGAGCTTGCAACAGCCAGCATTCTCTTTACATAAAGAAAGACAGGCACAATTTCTCCAGTGTTGGGCCTTCTAGCCCAGCAGCATTGGAGGAGTTTTACAATGCAATCTCCAGGCAGAGCTGGCTATCTAAGGGAGTGATTGCATTTCCTGTCATGAAGCTTTAGATCCCTGATTCATAGCGAGATGCCCAACGGCCACAGTGAGGCTCAAATAAAGCCCATAAAGTTCCAAATTGGGCAAAGGTTGATCAGGCAGGCTGGACTGATGTATGAGCAGATCTGAGGATGATAAATATGTGCCCCCATCTTTCCACTGTCACCTTGGCAAATCTTCCAAAAAATAGACAATGCAAGAGGGGCAACTGCTTTGGGCTGCACTCCTATTTCTCAAACATTTGGCTCCAAATGGTCTGCATAGGTAATGATGTATAAGAAATGAAATGGTGACAAAAATACACCTATTTGCCCAGTGCCTGTGCAGTATTTATGGTCCAGACACACCATTTAGCGCCGTATTTGGAAAATGATGGATATTTTAGCAATACCAAGTGCTTTGCCTTGTTTTGCGGGACCTGGTGGCAGGTAGAAAGGGCACAGCCCTGCAATTTGGAGGGAAACAGTGGCTCCCCTCTTGGAGTAGCCAAAGGCAATAGCCTGCTGGGTTGTAGCCCTCACTTGTTCACCTTGTGACTTTGCATCTTTGTAATTCTGATTCCCTCTCACACCCTTTTCCTTCCATGGGGCATTCTTAGTGCAGTAACTGCAGAAAAACAAATCAGAGGAATGCAAGCTGTGAGATGTTAGCTGGGTGTAGTGAAGTTAAAGGAGTGCCGATTATAGTTAAGTTGTTGGGCAACAGGGAAACGGGAGAAAGGCCATGGTCATTGTAAAGTCCGACCTCACTGGGTTGAAGCCCAGCTCGGTGACTATCCTGTCCTTGACCTATCACTTAACCTTTGAGTCTCTCCATCATCTGTAACAGGAGGACACTTATGCAGACATGGCAGCTTTGCATGAGAATGAAATAAGACACTGCCGGTGAAGGATAATGCATCTAGCACTCTGGCTTCTCAGTTTCTCCACCTTCTAATCAGCACCAGTGTTTCATTACACAGAATCTCAGCTGCCTCTGCCTTGGATATGCCCTTGATTTGTTACCACCAGAGAGGGCACCTAATTAGAAATTTAATTGGGAACATCTCATTCTCCAGACATTCTTCCAACTCTTCTGGCTTGCTCAGGGCCCTGGCTGCCACGATTCTTCAACTGGTTCAGGATCTCCCATCCACATGGTCTCTATCCTGGATGAGAGAAACAAAGTGGACTTCTGCTTCCATGCTTGTCCTCCCACTCTCTTCCTTCATGAAACAGGTAGAACAATGTTCTAAAAATGTAAATCAGATCACGTTCTTCCCTGCTTGAAGCCTTTTAATGTTTTCCTGATTGTTACCCAATCCACCAAACAACCAACCTATAAATACACGAGAGCACCTACTATGTGCCAGCTGCCATGGGTGACATCAGTGAACAAGACACATGCAAATTCCGCCCTCAGCCCCTCCTTGTACCATGATGGAAAATCACCACCCCCTGTTTACATCATCCCTTTACCACATGGTCGAGTCTCTGCTGTCATCTCTGCCTGCCAATCCCTGTGTCTTTACACTCCAACAAAAACCTTTTGTTGCAAACCCACTGTGTGTAGGAACTATCTCATTAAATCTTTTAAAATAGAAATGATTTTTTCCCTTCTCAGATGATGGAAGTGAGCTTCAAGTTAAAGAACTTACCCAAGATCACACAGCTGATGTGTGATCACACCAGGAGTTGACCAGGAAGCCAGCACCTCGGCCTGCATGTTTCTTTCATGTTCTCCTGCCTGGGTAGCTCTAGAGTTATGGCTTAGCCCTATGTTTACCTATGAGGACAGCACTATTATACATAATAAATTCTGTTGTATAACACAGGGCATTAAGACCTTGAAGACATCCTGACACCTAACATAACTCCTTTGTAGAAAATCTTAGGCTATTTCCAAGGCAAAACTCACTTTCTAAGTTCTCCAATTTTCTTATCTCTTGCAAATACCCTTACTTTAGGCTTTTGGTTTTGTGGCCTCTTTCTTCTCACTCTCATGAACAATTTCTGGGTCCAAGAGACCTGTGACATAGGTGAGGTATTATTATTTTCATTTAGATGAAGAAGACAAGTAGGCCAAGAGTTTACTTTACTTGCTCACACACAGAAGTAAAACAAGGATTTGAGCCTAGCACTTCTACTCAAAATACTCTATTCCATTATTTCTTGTTGCCACCTCACTACTATTTCTGCCTATAAACTCCAGCAGGAAAGTCTAATAGGCTTCAACTTATGGGCTAAAACTAGCTGATTTTGGTAGTTTGAGCTCTGTGTTGAGAAGGACTCTGAGGATGCATTTAGACTCAAGTAGAGTGAGTGTCCTGGTTGATTAGGGATGTCTACTAAACGTGGAGAGGGAAGTCTTGGGCCAAGCATTTGCCACTCCCAAATTTCTATATAATCTCTTAGGTGATATAATGTGGAAGTGTCTTAGCAGTTTTGCACTGCTATAACAGAATATCACAGACTGGGTAATCTATAACAAACAGAAATTTATTGCTTATCATTCTGGAGGCTGGAAAGTCCAAGATGAAGGGATCAGCATCTGGCAAGGATCTTCTTGCTGCATCAGAATATGGTGGAGGGCATCACGTGTTGGAAAGGCAAAGAGAGTGAGAGAGCAAGAGGAGGCTGAACTTGCCCTTTTATAATAGCACCAATCCCACCTGTGAAGGTGGAGCCCTCATGGCCTAATTACCTCTTAAAGGTCTCACCTCTTAATACTGTTACAATGACAATTAAATTTCAACATGAGTTATGGAGGAGACACGTTTAAACCACAGCAGGAAGCATCTATCACTGACTTGGGTGGAGTAGGAAGCTCAGAAAGTGTTTATGAAATATTTTTTAATCTCACAGGGCCGTTTCTAGGGGAAACATGCTGATTTCTTAAAAATGCTCACTTCTGTTCTTAAGTTAGATAGGGACTTAGGGCTGATTCTGGAAACAGACTAAATTGTGGGGAGTTAAGCATCATAGGCAACAGGGTGTAATGCAAATAATTGAGTCTTTGGGGCCAGCAGCCCTAGGTTTGAAATCTTCCTCTCATGTGGTAGCTGTGTGACCTTAGACACATTGCTCAAATGTTATAAACTCCAATTTCTCTATCTGTGAAGTGGAGATAGTAATGGTACTCATCAAATAGGTTGTTGAGTGGATTTAAATAATGTATAGAAAAGTGAATAGCACAATTCCTGGCACATAGAAAATGTTCCATGGATGCTGACAATTAATAGTATGACACAGGAAATTCATAGCACAGATCCTGGCACATAGGAGGCACTCAGAAATTTTTTGTTTCCCCTTTCTTCCTGCTGCAAGAAATGAGGCATGCATGAGGAAGGGGAAACTTCTGTCATCTGGCCTTGACCTTCCATCTGCAAAGCAGAGTCTGCTTAACTTAATGCTCAGGACTTGGAGGTACCACAGAGATGTGGGTAAAGCCTGCAGTTGCCCAGATGACAAGGGCAAATCAGGACCTGCTTCTTCCGGTATAAAGGTTCTTACAGATGGCCCTGCCAGAAGGGACAGCGAGATGCTGCACCCTGGCCCCTGGGGTTACTTGGGACAGTTGCAGAAAAACCTCTGGCACACACTGCTGGGCCCCTCTGCTGTTCCCAAGCACCTTTTGGTCCTGCCTGGTGTTCTTACCTTTTGATTCTCCAGGTCAGATTGCGGCTGATTCAGGACTGTGCTTTGCGCAACAGAGTTGGCAAAATGGAAGGTCTTGGTGAGGAGAGAGGGCATCAAGAAAGGTGGCTAATTTGCTGGACAAAGAGTCTTTCAGGAAGTGTCTGTGGAATTTGAAGACTTTTTTTTAATCCACACGTGTACATGGATGAATTTGAAGACTTTTAACAACTGATGAGTTAAAAAGATAACTAAAAGCCTGGTTAGCATTGTTTTGCTCACTGCCCAATTGAAGAAGCTCATAATTGTTTTGTTTCCCATGATTGTTCTAGATTTTTTATTTTGTGGGCTCTTATTTGGAACTAAAGTTAAGTTTTGAGAAGCACAGGGCTTGGTCATGAAAAGCACAGGACTATCTACCCATTCAGACCTGGGTTAAAAATCATGATACTGTCACTGTCTTGACATTTGACCTCAGGCCAAATAATTAATCCTTCTCTCTTCTGACCTGTAAACTGGGATAATGATACTTCCATTATAGCTTAGCTGTCAGAAGAAAACTTAGAGAGTGAATGGGAAGCACATATTCCCAGGCACAATCCAGAGTGGGTGATGGGTGCTGCCTTCACATCTGCTTGACCCAAGCAGATTTTCTGGGCAGAGAAGGAAGAGCCTTTGTTTAGGACTTGGAAGACATGGTTCTCCTTCAGGCTGAATGAGCTCAGTAGTGACTAACTTTCCAAAGCCCTGTTTCCTATGGAGATAATAAAACCACTTTTCCTACTTTACTGAGTTGTGAAAATCAACAGCATAATGGATGAAAAAGGTGCATGGCTAATTGTAAAGCATTTTCCAAGTGGAAGGTGATTTTTTTTGTGTGTGTGTGTGGCAGGTTTATTAAGGAATAAATCACATGCAATAAAATTCACTATTTTAAAGTGTACAGTTAGATAAGTTTTGACAAATGCCTGCAGTGGTGTAACCATAACTGTGGTCCAGACACAGAACAGTTTCATCACTCCAAAAAATTTCCTCATGCCCCTTTGTGGAAAATTTTCTTGCCCAACATCCAAACCCTGGCAACTACTGACTGCCTTTCTGTCCCAATAGTTTTGACTTTTGCAGAATGTTGTATAAATTGAGTCCCCAAGTACATAGTTTTGGTGTAGCTTTTTTGATTTAGCAGGATGCTTTTGAGATTCATCCACATGTTTGTGTGTAAGAGCGGTTTGTTCCTTTTTATTGAGAAGGATCCTACTGTAAGGTGCTATGGGTTAAATTATGTCCTCCCAAAACACATGCAGAAGAACTAATGCCCAATGTGATGGGTTTTGGAGATGAGGATTTTGGCAGATAATTAGGTTTAGATGAGGTCATGAGAATGAAGCTTTCATGATGGGACTATTGTCCTTATAAGGAAAGACAGCAGAGTGCTCTACCCTGCTCTACCCCCCTCTCCTGCCTTCTCTCTACCCCCCTCTCCTGCCTTCTCCCTACCCCCTTCTCCTGCCTTCTGTCTACCCCCCTCTCCTGCCTTCTCTCTACCCCTCTCTCCTGCCTTCTCTCTACCCCTCTCTCCTGCCTTCTCTCTACCCCTCTCTCCTGCCTTCTCTCTACCCCTCTCTCCTGCCTTCTCTCTACCCCCCTCTCCTGCCTTCTCTCTTCCCCCCTCTCCTGCCTTCTGTCTACCCCCATCTCCTGCCTTCTCTCTACCCCCCTCTCCTGCCTTCTCTCTACCCCCTCTCCTCCCTTCTCTCTACCCCCCTCCTCCCTTCTCTCTACCCCCCTCCTCCCTTCTCTCTACCCCATCCTCCCTTCTCTCTACCCCCCTTCTCTCTACCCCCTTCTCCTTCCTTCTCTCTACCCCCCTCTCCTCCCTTCTCTCTACCTCCCTCTCCTCCCTTCTCTCTACCCCCCTCTCCTGCCTTCTCTCTACCCCCCTCTCCTCCCTTCTCTCTACCCCCCTCTCCTCCCTTCTCTCTACCCCCCTCTCCTCCCTTCTCTCTACCCCCCTCTCCTTCACCCTCTGTTGTGTGAGGACAAAGAAGGCAGCCATTTGTAAGCCAGGAAGAAGTTCCTCACCAGAACCAGAACCGAACCATGCTGGCCCCCTGGTCTTGGCCTTCCTAGCCTTCAGAACTGTAAGAAAATAAATGTCTGTTGTTTAAGACCCCCAAGTCTATGATATTTTGTTACAGCAGCCCAAGTTGACTATGACGTATTGATAGAAGTTTTTAAAAGTTACTTTGGTGCATTTTGAGAAAAATTTCATTTCCCATATTTATTCCTTTAGCACCTACAACATATTTTGCTATAAATTTGCTCTTCACAAGATAACCACAACATTTAAAAATATGAATTCAGAGCTTTGTAATTGTAAGGCATGAAATTTCAGGTGCTGCCTTGACATCTTTGAGTCTCAGAGGGCCCCAAAGACCTCACCTGAGTTTCTCTGCTCTCAACAAACATACCCCACAGGAAAGGAAAAGTTCCCCATCCAGATAATTCCCTTCTCAGCTGTACCCCACCTGCTCCTCAGCCTAGTGGTTTCACCTCCCTGCTAGCCCAAGGAGTTGCTCAGACAAAACAACCACATCTTCCTGTGGGAATCAATGGTCCCCTCACCCTCACTACTAGGCCTGCCTCCCACAGACCCTGCGTGTTCACTCTGTTCCTGAGCACAAACCTGTGTGGCCCTGCCCCGTGCAGTGTCCACCTTTCCCAGGCTGTGAGTCTGTGTGCTGATTAAATTGCTGCCAGTCTCATGGATCCAGTGTCAGGTGCTGTGTGTTTGGCTACCTCATACTGTTTTAGGGTGGGGGATTTCTCCTTCACAAACAAGGTGGATAGGAAGTGATCAGAAGAGGGCCTCAGCAGATTTTGTGGTTTGATATTAGGATTTTAAGGTGATTTACTGTTCTCACTGGTCACCTTCCTTCTACATTTTGGTGTTATGTTGTGCATAACCCCACTTGCAGATAATATTAAAAGGCTGAATTTGTGGCCTTCTTGAACATGGGAACCATACAAATGAACCTTAAGAGGAGTGGTTTTTAACCATTTTGTATTCTCCTGTCCTTTCCAGAGAGCCACAAAACCCCTAGAACAGACTTACCAGAGATTGGGATGGTATCTCCTGAGGATAAGGGAGAAAGTCCTTTATGGTGGAAGGAATGTCATTGGTGGAGAGAAATTAGTCCATTCTCTGCTCAGTACCTGGATATGATTCTGGACTGGCTTTAGTGTTTCCAGTCCAGTGTTCTGCTTACAGCGAGTCGTGGTCCTTGTGATTCCAGAGAGTGTATCCCATGAACAAGGGCTGCGCAGGGCTCGGAGAAGTAAAGAGGATTGTCTATTCTCATCACCTGCACTAAGTTCTTCTCTCCCCAACCCCTCAAATAGGATAGGTGTGTGTGTGTGTGTGTGTGTGTGTGTGTTTGTGTGTAGAGAGAGAGACTTTTAAGGGATTTGCTCAGGCAATTATGGAGAGTAGCAACTCCAAAATGGGCAGGGCAGGCCATCAAGAGCCAAGGAAAGAGCTGTTGTTGCAGTTTAATTCCTAAGGTTGTCTGTTGGCAGAATTCCTTCTTACCTGGGGGAGGTCAGTCTTTGCTTTATTCAGTTCTTCAACTGCTTGAATGAGGCCCACCCATATGAAGGGGGGCAATTGCTTTACTCAAGTCCACCAATTTAAATGTTAATTTTATCCAAAAAATAAGCAACCTCACAGAAACATCCAGAATAATATTTGACCAAATACCTGGGCACCGTGGGCCAGCCAACTTGACACAAAAAATTAACCATCATGGTCCCCATACTGTACTGCTAGGCATGGCTGGAGAGTGTGACACCTCATGGCTGCCCTCACCTTTGCTTCCTCTGCTACAGCCACACTGGCCTTGTTTCCAGTCTGGGAACACAACACTCAAACCCACTCCCAGCTCAGACTTTCTCATGCTGTCCCCTCTTCCTGGAAGGCTCATTCATCAATTCTTCAAACAAGTGGCTCCTTCTCATACTATAAGTTTCAACTTCATTGTTATCTCTGCACCTGAAGTAGGTCCTACTTCATGTGCTCCTCCTTTTGGCCCCCTAGAAGATTTTTGTTTTAGCACCACGTTTTGTAATTATACACCTTCTTTTTTTTTTGCGGGGGGTGTCCAATCCTCCCCTATAATGTGTGACAGCAGGGCTCTGCCCTTTTTGTGTCCCTAGTATCCAGCACAGCGCCTGGCACAAAGTGGGTGCTCATTAAACATGTGTAAATGGAGTTAGCGATCATCATATAACACGTCCTTAAGGAGCTTGCAATCTAGTCCAGTAACGACAGTGGGAGGATTTGGTGGGAAGTGTATTTTTCTCCAGGCTCTGTCCTGGTGGGCTGTGTGACCTGAGACAAACTACTTCCTCTTTCTGGGCCTCAGCCTCCATGTGAATGGCAGGCCTTTGAACAACAGCCATCCTACAGAGCTGAGCAAATCACAAGGGTGGGGGGGAATGAGCTGTCAAGCTGGGGCAGAGCCCAAACTTTTACCTGTCATTGACCTCCTTGGAATAATAGCATCTGAGGATTGTCACACTGACTGCACTGGAGCTGCAATGTTCTTAGAACATCACATTGAGGAGACCTGTGCATCCCCCCCATACCGTCATCTGTTTTCCTCATCATGTGCACAGAGAACCCTTTCTTGATATTGTTGAAAATTACCAAGACAATCTTTGTGATCTCCTGGGACTGGCACAAACATTAGTGATCATCTGTCCAGTGGTAATTGGTAAAAAACCTTCCCAGGATTCTGGGCATTAAATCCAAATGGGCCAAGCTGCTCATATTTGTAAAAACTCTCCTCTTCAATCATCACTAATAACAGGGCACATAAAACGGATGGAAAGTTTTAGTGACAAGAGACAGGAAAAGCCAGAAGGATGCCAAATAATCCCGTTGCCTAGAGAGATGGAAGGATAATCTTCAGAAGTCTTTAAGGGAGGGAATTAGGCATCAGGGAGAAAGATACTTTGAGTGCTAAAGCAAATGATTTTAATTGAACCCTTAACTTCAGATATTTCTACTAGAGCTTATGCTAAAGCATGACGTAAAGCACATTTAAAAAAGTTACATAAGAGATAAGCTTCCTTCCAGTTTTTTTGGGGGGTGCCATACAGAATGAATGGGGTCAGGGAGAGAAGGGATTGCAAAGGGTAGAAGAAGGATGTGTATTTGCTGAAAAACAATGGGATCAAATAGCCACAAAAACTTTTCCCTGACAACCCCAACCTAAGGCTAAATGTGGGGGTCACACCTATGCTATAAAACAGGGTTCCTCTGGATTGCCTTCCTCTGCTCACTGGGGAATTCAGCCCTCTTTAGACTCCTTTCAAATGGTCAAAAGAGTCCTGGGGTGTCCACATTTACCCTGGAAATTTATTTGCTTGATAACCTGAGAGGCCTAGCATTCTCTTCTTCTCTTGCTGATGCACTTTGTCACTATTCACACCAAAAGAGACCCGTCTGCTGCTGCTTTTCACAGAAATATAAATGAAACCATTCCATCTGCTTTATATAATCCTTTATTGCAGGCCTCGTGTTCGATGACCCAGGCCTCAAGGGGGCTGGGCCATGGGACCTTTCAAGTGGCCGACACAGGAACATTTTGAATCATTTCTGTCTTCGCCCTTGACACGGTCTGTGTGCCTGCTTGCTGTCCCTTCCCACAGTGAGTTCCTCCTAGGGGGCTCCCCACCCCTCAGGTACATCTGGAGATGCCTCTTCCACCGGCTCCACAGACCTTCCAAGTCCTATTTCAAGCTCAAGGTTAGCTTCAGTTCAAGCTGAGCCCCTCTCATGGCACAATTTGTTTTTCCATTTCATCCTTTCTAAGGGTGCTTAAAAGCTTTATTGAGCAATAAGCAACAACACAGGTATGGAGTGGGCAGAAGCAGCTGTTGTTACCTTTGCCAGAGCTTATGTGCTTGTGGGCTGACTTTAGAGCTGATCTGAGGGGCCAACTACCGCCAGGATCTGGGACAGCATTTCCTGCTTTCTCTTCACTGATGTTCAAGTGCTGGCTTGGAAAGACCCCAAAGAGGAGGAAGGAAATTGGAAGAAGGAAGTAAGAGTGTTTATGTAACATTTAAAAGACTCCCAGGCTCTGGAAGGCCAGTCCTTCCTTTCTGGATGCTCACTTTGGAGTAGCACCACATCTCAATTCTGTTGGCCCTTTAGGCCAGGCACGCATGGACCTGGGCAAGTGGTGACAGGGCCTTTCTTGTTTCAGGGGTGTCACTGAGCTAAGTGACTAGACCACTGAAAAAAAGGAATATATTTTCCCCTTTGTACAAACAATGCTAGAAACTCTCCAGATATTTAGCGTTCCTCCACTGCTTGCATAATATGTGACGGCTTCCCAACCTGGCTCCCAATTCTACAGTATTTGGCTCATCTCACCTCTCGGGTTTTCCTTTTCACACTCTCTCACTCTGCACACATGGTACCCAGAAAAGTGTACTGTGCCTCCCCACCTCTGTTCCGTTTATAATTATTCTCTTGTGCTTCCTTCATAGAATAACTGTCTCCTTCCCATCCCATCTGTCAAAATCCTACTCCTCCAGCGAGTGCCCCAGCCTAAGATCTTCCACCATCAAAGCCCACCTCCAACCAGCCAGAAGGAGCCCCTCAGGTGTCTGTGTATCCTGCCTCCGCCCCCCTCCCACCCCCACTGGCCCCAGCACTCTGGTCCTCTCATCATGGAACTTGTTTCCATAGGTCATGGTTATTAGTAAATATGTCTTGTCTTACTTTCTACTTGTAAAGTCCTTGAAAATAGCTATTCATCTTATGTATATTTTTTTCCCAGAGTATCTGGCACATTGTTCTGCTTACGGTAGGTGCTTGAAATGTATCTATTTAGTTGAATCGTTTTGCCCCAGCTGTGAAAACTCACTGCATAATGAATCAGGAGGCCTGGACCATGCAGTGCATCTGAATTTGCATTGTCCTAAGGCATGGCCAAATTAGGGTGGCAACTCAGATTTCTAGGGGCAATTCATACACAAAATGAGTCTAGTTTGTTACAGTCACTTGGAGTTAGTCTTTGATCTAATCCTTAAACGTTTTTTTGGTATATATCAGAGAAACAGAGTAGAGAAGTGAAAAAAAAAACTTCAAGATGTGTTTCAATTATTAATACGAATATGTGGGTTTTGAATAATAAAGTCCCAAGTGGAATGGTATGTTCATTATTTATTGAATCAATCAATAGGCATGCATTGGACACACATTTGAGAACCTACTCTGTCCTCTGCATGGGGGAGGTAAGGGTGACTGACGCGGGCACAGTCCTGACCTCAACAGGGCTTGCTATGGACCACCTATGATGTACTAGGCACCTGTTTCCCCTGGGCATATGAGGATGAATAAAGCATGTTCCAGTGCCTTGGCCCTCACTATCTGGGTTGTAGGGGGAGACACACATGAGTTAATGCATGATTTCACTGCTGTGAGATAGGGCTAGGTAGAGAAGTGAGCACATGGTGAAGTGAGGGTGCCGAGGAGAGGAAACGAACCCAGGCAGAGGAGGGTCAGGCAGCTGCTCTAGACCCAGAAGGACATCACTGCAGGCTGAGTTAGAAGGAACTAGACAGCCTGGGGAAGGGGAACAAAAACGCAGATACAGCTTAGAAATCAGACATGCCTTCTCCAAATCCCAACTTTGCTAGTAACTGGTAGCAATGACCATGGCTATTTTATCAATGACAGCATGCTGGGGAGTATGAGTAAGTGGGCCATGTTTGGGAGTCCAGTTTGGTGCAGCTGAGTGGAGAGTGGGAGGGACTGGGTTGGAGAGGGTGCTGGAGGAATGCAATGCAGCTATTGTAACACTCTGCATTGCTCCCGTTTTATGTCTTGGGCATCAGCAGTTTTGGCCACATCATTTTCCATAGCATAGAGGTAATGCTGGGGAAGGTGGAGCATCCCTTAAAGGGCCCAGAACCGAGACACTCTTGAGCCCCTGAACTCCCAGTGGCTGTGACCTCCTCCCAGACCCTGGAGGAGGCATCTATGTAAAACACACCTGTCACCCTTCCTCTTTGTTCTGGGACAAACAAAGGAAGGATTGGCACTTGGTTTTCCACCATTGTCTTTCAGAGCCTGTGACCCCACATGCAGGGGGTGAACCCACTTCATTGCCCTTCAGCTGTTTTGTCTTGGCTGCCTACCTGGCTTTTGTTCCTTACTAATTTCAGGAGAACTAGGTTCGGTATCACCCCAGCCTCTCCTCTCTCTCATCTCCCATAGTTTACAGGTCTCTCCTATTTTTCATGTCTGAAATTTTCTGGCGCCATCTGTGCCCTGGGGAGAGGCAAGTGGCATTGGAAAGTGAGTGCCAGCCTAGAAATAGTGAAGCTCCAAATGAATCCCGTGGGCTGATCTCAGATCCCCTGAGATTTCAGGGAGCTGATGGGGGAGGGAGAAGAAAGGGGATGCTGTTTGGTCCTGGTCATTGTCACAAAGGGTTTCACATTTAGACTTTTTGATGTGATCCCCAAAGGAGATTGTACACATAATACTTTTTTGTGATTAGAGTATTATACATTCGTTACCCTTGTTTTAATCTTTTAGGAGCTTGCCTTGTCTCTGCTCCCCTCCAAATGAAAGACGCCCAAGTATTTCCCAACCTCTTGGTGGTTTGTTTAGGCTCACAGGTGGGTCTGATGGGTCTGAGGCCTGGCCAGGTGAGTGCTCATGTCAGTACTCAGGTGACACATCTGAAGGAATTTGAAGTCAGGGTGAAATAAAAGGACAAGAACAACTGGGATGAATGAGAAATGTGGACAGAATGGCCCATGCAATTGTTTCCTGTTTGTTTCTGCCTGAAGGTGCCCATCTGTCCATCATGAATGTCTGCCTCTCCAAGTGCAATTCTTGGGGCATCTGGTCTTGGCAGAGACCTGCTCTAGCCTGAGTTGGCCATTCGCTACATATTAGAAATAAAAAGAAATGCTTCGTCTTGTCTGGCATGTTGCAAGGTCCGGTCTTGACCGTCTGTTATTTAAAGCTAAATATTCAAAATTGGCACAAAGGTAACCATTTAATCAGCATCAGGGAGAAGATGTAGGACTGTCTTACTTTGGTGAACCTGGAATGCAAATCACTTATTAGAAACCCTCAATCTGGGTAACAAGGAAGCTAAGGTAATCTTTGGCCTTCTCATTTGCTTATTTGTGGGGGTTACAGCGGTGAAGGAGGATTGAGGAGCCCAGTCTCAGGAAGAGAGGCCTGAAATAGCTGGCCAGGACCTAGGCCCAGCTGGGGGAAGAGACCAGGGTAACCCACCATCCCAGTTTTCCTAGGACTGAGGGGGTTCTTGATGTGCAGGATTTTCAGTGCTAACACCAGGAAAGTTCCAGGCAAACTGGGACAAGTTGGTCACCCTAGGGGACTCATATGCTTCGTCAACTCCAGGGTGATGGGACCCACCACTTGGCCAAGTTGGGAAGCCTCCCTCTTGTGGATAGGGAGCACTTTGCTGCAAAGCGTGGTAGACTCCACTCGGTTTTTCATAGAAAATTATGTCTCATCTTTAAAAGAGTTTGATTTATTTATGGACCTGATGTTCTGGAATGCATCGATTTGCCTCCTTCCTCTGGAAGCATTGCTCCTGTGGGTGAGATGTATTGCTGGGCATTTCTCAACAAGCATCCTCATAGTTTTTCGCTATTTGAATAGACTGTTGCCTCTCAAATCCTTTTCTCTCCATGCCGGTGTATTTATGACCTTATCTCCACCGACCTCCAGGTCTTTACAGAGGGGAACATCTATTTAAGCCTTGGAGATCAAAAGATTTCTTTATTTTTCTTGACTTCCCAGAGGAAAAGGGGATGTTGAGAGAAAAGCAACTGGGGGTTAGGGGGACTGAGGAAGAAAAGCAAAAGGAAGTTCCTCCCATGAGTGTGCATGGGGGACCTCGCAGTGGGCGGGAAGCAGACACAGGCTTCTGGGAAACACAGCCCAAATCCATATCATAAGACTCTTTTGGCATCCTTTCTTTGCCCTAATTCTTCTTTTTTAAGCCTTTAACTCTGACACACTTCCCCTCTCTTCCTTTTCTTTCATTTGTCAGTTGTGAGTATTTTGGTTTGAGTCAAGAGAAACAGACAGCTGGTGCAGCCTTCATTGCTTCAATAACACCAGGGTGTTTATGTTCGCACTTTCCATCCGATGAGTGGGGTGGGTGTTAGGGAAAGCAGCTTGGTGTTCTGAGCCTTTGTGGGAGGGGTAGACCAGGATGGGGATGGCCTTCTCCAAGTTCAAGTTAAAACATGGTGGGATCGGCCGGGCGTGGTGGCTCAAGCCTGTAATCCCAGCACTTTGGGAGGCCGAGGCGGGCGGATCACGAGGTCAGGAGATCGAGACCATCCTGGCTAACACGGTGAAATCCCGTCCCTACTAAAAATAGAAAAAAATTAGCCGGGCGTGGTGGCAGGCACCTGTAGTCCCAGCTACTCGGGAGGCTGAGGCAGGAGAATGGCATGAACCTGGGAGACGGAGCTTGCAGTGAGCTGAGATTGCGCCACTGCACTCCAGCCTGGGCCACAGAGTGAGACTCCGTCTCAAAGAAAAAAACAAAAACAAAAACATGGTGGGATCTAGGGAGGTACAAGTGGTGAACAGAGTGTGTGCATGAGTGGGAGAAGTGGGGAGTCAGAGGAATCATTTGCTATCTGGGATTATGCCAGATGGTTACCTTGAAAGGAGGCTGGGCCACCATCATTTTACAGGCTGTCATGAATTATTAGTGTGGGTAATGATTTTCTGAAACTTCCAACAAGGATGCCATCATTATGAAATTCACCCATCTCATCAGCATGTGGAGACCTGACTTTCCCCTTCTAATTATTCTCAGGGCATCTCATGACCCTTAGAGCAGTGTTTGCAGTCTGGGTGCACATTGGAGTCACTGGGGAGCTTAAAAAAATACTGATGCCTGGAACTCACCTCCAGAGATTTTTTTTTTTTTTTTTTTTTTTTTTTTTTTGAGACAGGGCCTCACTCTTGTCGCCCAGGCTAGAGTGCCGTGGTGTGATCTTGGCTCTCTGCAGCTTTGGCCTCCTGGGCTCAGGTGATCCTCCTGCTTCAGCCTCCTGAGTAGCTGGGACCACAGGTGCATGCTACTATGCCTGGCTAATTTTGGTATTTTTTTTTTTGTAGACATGGGATTTCACCATGATGCCCAGGCTGGTCTTGAACTCCGGGGCTCAAGTGATTCTCCTGCCTTGGCCTCCCAAAGTGCTAGGATTACAGGCATGAGATACTGTGCCCTGCTGAGATTTTGATTTATGTGCTGCAGGGTGAGGCCTGGGCATCAGGATTGGAAAGTCTCCCCAGGTGACTGTGATGTGCAGCAAAATTGGATCATTGCTGCTTTCCAGCCTCACAGTGTGGTGGGTGGGCCAGCATCCAGCATCCAGCAGCATCTGGGGCCCTGTTAGGAAGGTCAATTTCAGGCTCTAGCCCAGGCCGAATCAGCATCTGCGTTCTAATAAGACCCCCCTGGTCATTCACATGCATAGAAAAGGCTTAGAAGCATTGCCTTAGAGCCTGTGTACCTGCGCAGGTGGGACCAGCCAACAGCTTTGCTAGGTTGTTATACTAATGAAAAGCCATATTTTGGCCAGGTGTGGTGGCTCATGCCTGTAATCCCAGCACTTTGGGAGGCCAAGGAGGGTGGATCACCTGAGGTCAGGAGTTCAAAACCAGCATGGACATGGCAAAACCCCGTCTGTAGTAAAAATACAAAAATTAGCTGGGTGTGGTGATGTGTGCCTGTAATTCTAGCTACTCAAGAGGCTGAGACACAAGAATTGTTTGGACCTGGGAGGCAGAGGTTGTAGTGAGCTGAGACTGTGCCAATGCACTGCAGCCTGGGTGACAGAGTGAGAATCTGTCTCAAAAAAAAAAAAAGCCATATTTTGAGGTCAGCTATACCTGGATTCAAACCCTTGCTCTTCTGCTTATTAGTTGTGCAATTTTGGACAAGTCAGCAACCTCTTGGTACCTTGGTTCCCCATCCATAAAATGGGGACATATGTAATACTAGTGTTATAGGTTGGCTGTGAAGAGAAATGGCTCATGATTTGCTTACCACAGTGCCCTGCACACAGCAAGGGCTCAGTATGTTAGCTGTCATTACTATGAAAAATGCTGATTCCACCCTCAGGACTAGAGGCTTTATTTTTTTCTTTATGGCACCAGCTTTTGAGAAAAGAAGGGCTGAGGGATTTTAAAAATCAAACTTAGTTTGTTTTTTTGGCAATTATGTGGTGGGTGCATGGGAGAGAGGACCAACTTTAGTTAATCTATAACAATATTTTGTTTGACTTTTCTGATAAGATCAACCCCCAAAGAATTTCCAGCAAGCACTATAGGAGAGAGGCAGTTACTAAAAATGTAACCTTTCTTTCCCCCGCAGTAGTCTCGGAGATATATTCTGGGAACTGAGTATTAGGCACATCAGAGACAAATCACCTCCTTTGAGCTGTCCAGGTTATAGCCCCTTGATGAACCCATTCTCCCATTCCCAGGGCCAGCCAGGCTGCTTCTGGGAAGCTGTAGACATGCTTTTCCTATATGGGAGCAGGCCTGGAGCCAGCCTCTGAGGTTCTTGGCCCAGTAAAAAATTGCAATCCTCAGCAGTCCCTGGCCTCAATGACTCACTGCTCTAAAGAATATAATTCACATGTCTAGATGAGAGGCTCATATATCTGCTGGACACTGTTACTATGAGTGGAGTGTTACTGACAGCCAATCATAAGCATTAGTCAAAAGTATGACCTCAATAGCAGCCAATCAGGCCATTCCTAGGGGAGTTGGGCCTTCCACAGGTTTCCTGTTATTTGTAACTCACCTTCAAGGATGTGGGTCAGGGATGCAGGTAGAACCTAATTGCTTGGAATAGAGTTTTGCAAAGTGGAGCCTGGAGATACTACTTGAAAAAAGGGTCTTGTGGTTGCATAAGTTGGGGACCATTGCCTGTTATATCCCTCTCATGGAGATCTGGCATGTACTGAGCATATTATGGACTAGAGGTGATCATGCTGTAAAGCAAATGGCCAGGCACAGTGGCTCATGCCTGTAATCCCAGCATTTGGGGAGGCTGAGGTGGGTGGATCTACTTGAGGTCAGGAGTTCAAGACCAGCCTGGCCAACATGGTGAAACTCTGTCTCTACTAAAAATACAAAAATTAGCAGGGTGCGGTGGCAGGAACCCGTAATCCCAGCTACCTGGGAGGCTGAGGCAGGAGAATTGCTTGAACCTGGGAGGCGGAGGTTGCAGTGAGCCAA
The DNA here is from genome assembly GCF_000001405.40 of Homo sapiens. Lineage (NCBI taxonomy): Eukaryota > Metazoa > Chordata > Mammalia > Primates > Hominidae > Homo > Homo sapiens. The sequence goes on from NC_000015.10 coordinate 85,942,299, forward strand.
GATTGTGCCATTGCACTCCAGCCTGGGCAGCAGAGTGAGACTCCATCTCCCAAAAACGAAAAGAAAAACAAAAAACAAACACGCAAAAAAAAAAAAACCAACCAAAAAACAACAACAAAAAAAACAACTGCAACTTTGTTTTACTCAAGTTCTTAGACGGAGATTTGCTATGAATTCGTATTTTAAAATAATATCTGTTCAACATTGGGCTAAACTAATGTTTCACAGGGCAAAATTTGAAAGTTGCTTGGAGAATTCTGAATTCTGCAGCAACATGTCTGTTATTTATCTTGCCCTCAGTCGATCAGTTAGTTTAACTCTGGGTTGTGGGGCTACTTTTCAGGGCATTGTTAGGGAGGACCTCTTTGAGAAAGTTCCCTTGAAGCTGAACCTTGAGGGATAAGGATCCAGGTTTCTGAGCTGGGGAGAAACATTGCAGCTGCAGTGAGCAGGACCGGCTGGTGGGAAATAACGTAGGGAGGAACAAGGATATACAGGGCCTACCGGGCTGTAGTAAAATGCCTGGATTTCCTCAAGTTGATGAGAAATCTTTGAACGATTCCCAGCAAGGCTGTGACATGGTTTTGCTAATTTTAGAAGTAACACTTTGTCCACTGAATACAAGGTGGTTGATAAACAAAACTAAAAGGAATTGGGCTAGATTATGTTTCCCCAAGATGGCCACAAAGAACATCTTCCATCCCACATATTCTTGAACCTTCAAGCGTTCTATCAAGAGACGAAGTCTAATGGACATCCCTTTGAACTTAGGCAGACTTCTGACTTGCTTTTAATGGATAGGATGCACTGGAAATGATGCTCTGTGACTCCCAAGGTGAGGTTATAAAAAACAGTGGCAGTTTCCACATGGGAACCTGTGCTCAGAGCCCTGGGATGTCATGAAAGAAGTCGACCCTCCCTTCTCCCCCAGGCCGCCATGCTGTGAGCACTCAAAGCCGCATGGAGGGGCCTCATGTAGGTTCTCCAGTTGGCAGTCCCAGACTTTTCGTTCTCCCAGCCCAGTGCCAGACATGTGAGTGCATAAGCTTTAGATGAGTCTGGCTTCCAGCCATCAAGACACCCTCAGTTTTTGAGGCTTCCCATCTGAGGCTCCAGACATCAGAAAACAGACACTAGTGTCCTTTCCAAATTACTGATCTACAGAATCATGAGCAAATTGTAGTAATAAATAATAAATAAATGTAAGCTGCTAAGTGTGGGGATAATTGTTATGCAGCAGTTGTGAGAAGAACAGGGAGAATAGGCAGGAGGCTGCTGCAGTGGTTTGGGCAGGAGAAGATGATGGCTTGAATTTAGGATTGTCAGTTCCCATGAGTTATAGTTCATACCAGAATACAGCTGTAGTAAAGAAGAAAAAAGTTAGGCTTATTTGCTGCAGCAAGGAAGCGTGTACATCATGGAGAACCATGGGGTATCTCAAAAGAGAGGAGTCAGGGAATGGCTGCTTATAAGGTTTTGGGGGCTGGAGTTAGTTGTAGATAGTCTTGGCAGGAATTGACCAGAATTCTGTTATCTTGGAAGCTGCTGCAATAGTGAGTGGTCTTTAGGACTTTAGAATCTGTATATAGCTCTGTTAATTTGTCAGTAAGGTCAATTTGTCTGCTCTACTTGGAACATATGGGTTTGAATGAACTGGTATAAAAAGAATTTTTGTTTTAAATAGTCTATGATGTGCTTCATGGCTTAGTCTAGCGCAGATTCTCTCTGTGAGTCAGGGTACATTTTGCAAGATGTGGATTCTGTTTCAATTCTAAATTCTGTTCAACAGCTTTGCCGCCAGCTGTTACTTTTAAGAGATTGTGATTTTGTTAAAAACAGGCTCCTTATCTTTAAGAGATACAAACTGAAATATTGACAATATAAAGCAGCAGTTCTCAAATATTTTAGTCTCGAGACGTCTATGTACTAAAAAATTATTGAAGACCCCAAAGAGCATTATTTCATTTTGTTTATATACATTTTTATAATTTCAATTTTTATTTTAGATTCAGGGGGTACAAGTGCAACTTTGTTACATGAATATATTGCATGACACTGAGGTCAAAGGGCATTTTAAAATGTGAGTTGTAGTTATTGATATTTACCGCATTAGAAATTAAAACAAAAAATGTAAATACATTTATTTATAACAAATGACATGTTTTTAAAGACAATAACTACATTTTTAAAGAAACTGATGAGAAGAGTGCTATTGTTTTTTTTTTTTTTTTTTTTTGCAAATATCTTTGATAGTCTGGCTTAATGGAAGATGGCCGGATTCACATATTGGCTTCTGAATTTAATCAGTTGCAATATGTTTTGATTGGAGTGTACAAAATTTGGCTTCATACAAATAATACTTGGTAAAGGTGGGAGTATTTTAATAGCCATTTTCACATAACTGTGGTTATTCTTCTTTGATATTGTATCAAAACTTGATAAGTGGTAGTTTTTATCTGTAGTCAAACTTTTGTACTCCGTTCCATTATAATCCATTGGTCTATCTTATGCTTTAAATGAATCTTTTACTCATGCATGATTTTGTATTATTCATTGGTCACTTGTAAATATTAGTTTTGGTTATTTTTTTTGAGACAGGGTCTCACTCTGTTGTCCAGGCTAGAGAGCAGTGGTGTGATTTTGGCTCACTGCAACCTCGATTTCCCTGGCTTAAGTGATCCTCCCAGCTCAACTCCCTGAGTAGCTGGGACTACAGGTGTGCACCCCCATGCGCAGCTAATTTTTATATTTTTTGTTGAGACAGGGTTTCACTTTGTTGCCCAGGCTGGTCTCAAATTCCTGGGCTCAAGTGATCCTCCCATCTCGGCCTCCCAAAGTGCTGAAATTATAGGCATGAGCCACTGTGCCTGGGCTGTAAATACTAGTTTATTAAATAGTCACATCTTCCAAATCTTGACAGATTTCATTATACAATATAAAATATTACACTTGTTAATTTCGTCACTGATATTGTCAGAGAAGTTTTTAAGTAGTGGGAAGCTATCATACTTACGGTGGCAGACATAATTTTCCCCAAATTCTACATTTTACTTTAAAATTTGAAGCATATCATTGGCAACAAGTTGACAACAAAAATGCTGTCAGTTGTTTTCCTCGAAATGACAGTCTTACTTTATTCATTTTTGAGAAAATATATGCCAAATACCTGAGTCTGTATAACCAGAGTTTGTTAGTCGAACTTTCAAGTAAAAATAACGTTCCATGAAAAAGTCAACTAGGTTAGCTTGTCACTCAAACATTTGTACAAGTGCTTTTCCAGGAGGCAACTATTATACTTTGGTATGCAGTATAAAGCACTTTATGCATACTTTCACTTGGTTGCTCATAGTATTAAGATGTGTACCTGAAAGTTGAGATTTGACAAAATTAATAATTATTACTGCTTTATCAAGCACATCCTAAGGGGCACTGGTGTTTATTATTTATTTATTTGAGATGGAGTCTCGCTCTGTTGCCCAGGCTGGAGTACAGTGGCACGATCTCGGCTCACTGCAACCTCCACCTCCCAGGTTTAAGCGATTCTCCTGCGTCAGCCTTCCGAGCAGCTGAGATTACAGGTGCCCACCACCATGCCTGGCTAATCTTTGTATTTTTAGTAGAGATGGGGTTTCACCGTGTTGTCCAGGCTGACCTAAGGTGATCCACCCACCTCAGCCTCCCAAAGTGCTGGGATTAGCCACCGCGCCCGGCTCACTGGTGTTTATTTCAATGTGAGTGAGTGGTAGTGGAGACCACAGTGCTGTCATGCTGCCCTGGCCAGAGCTAAGGCACCAGCCACTTACCCACCATGGCTTTTGTGCTGTTATTGCAAGTGTCAATACAGTGAAAAAGGCAAATGATGTCTTAGTAATAGAATAAAAATAGACTTGACCTGGAAGTTTCTCGGGAAGTAACTTGGGGGATCCCTAGGAGTCTACTGATCAACTTTGAGATGTAGGACTTGCTTCAAAATAATCCAGGAGGGAGGAAGGGGAGGGGATGTCCGGATGAAATAGGAGTGGCCAGGAGTTGATCATTGTTGAAGTTGAGTCACAGGGGTTCACTGTACTATTCTGTTTATTTTTATATGTATTGAACTTTTTTTATAATAAGAGCTAATGAAAAGATTGAGTCCCAGGACTGTAGCTTTAGTACCTGGGCAGACAGTAGTGCTATTTATTGATGGGGAGAATAGGGGGAGCAGGGACAGGTTTTGGTTGCGGAATCTAAGAATTCTGTCCAGAAAACATTACATTGAGATGCCAGGTTATATTGGCCCATTTTCATGCTGCTGATAAAGACATACCTGAGACTGGATAATTTATAAAGAAAAAGAGGTTTAATGGACTCACAGTTTCATGAGTCTAGGGAGGCCTCACAATTATGGCGGAAGGCGAAAGACATGTCTTACATGGCGGCAGAAAAGACAGAAAACTTGTGCAGGGAAAACTCCCCCTTATAAAACCAGCAGATCTCCTAAGACTTATTCACTAGCACCAGAACAGCATGGAAAAGACCCACCCCCATGATTCAATTACTTCCTACCGGGCCCCTCCCGCAACACGTGGGAATTGTGGGAGCTACAATTCAAGATGAGATTGGGTGGGGACACAGCCAAACCATATCACAGGTAGACCACCCACTTTGCATATGTGGGTCTGGAACACAGAATCCCAGTGGTCAGCTGGTATTTTAAGCCATGGAACTGGCTGTAAGGGCAGAAGTGTGTAGAGAGGCGAGGGCCCAGTTAAGCAGCCTCTCTCCATGCCCTGAGCTTGATGATGTGGCCTTGGTTAACCACCTCCAGCTCCAAGAAACTTCACGGTCTTCCTCTGCCCTGGGAGCTTGGCACTGCCCCCTTGGAATTCAATATTTCATCCTCTGGTGCTCTGATTATCTCTTGGGATTAGGAGGCATTAGAAGAGCCCAGGAGAAGGAGTCAGCTTTTGGATTTCCTTGGAAAGCTCTAAGCAGATTTTATCCCCTCTCCATCTGTTATGTTGGGAGTTCGTGGGAGGGGGAGGGATCACAAGAAAGTGTGAACTCAGACTCTTTAAGCCTAATTTTGACTGCCTAATTTTGACTGTTTGTAGACTTCACCCACCAAAATAGTTGCTGGAGTGGTTCACAGTTTAGACATTGTCATGTTTGAGGCTAGTCTGGTGGTGAAGAGCTTAACCTCTGGAATTTGATCAACCTGATTTCAAATCCCTTCTCCTTACTCCCTTACTGGCTGTGTGACTGGAGTGAGTTGCTAAACTCCTCCAAGTTTTAATCTTTGCCTGTCTAAAATGCGGAGGATAAAAGCATCTCTTCATTGGTTTGGAGAGAGGGTTAATGAGGAAATGCACTCAGAGGGCTAAGAGGAAACCCTATCTCTACAAAATTAGCCAGGTGTGGTGGTATGCACCTGTATTTCCACTACTTGGGAGGCTGAAGTGGGAGAATTGCTTGAGCTCAGGAGGTGAGGTTGCAGTGAGCTGAGATTGAGCCACTGAACTCCAGCCTGGGTGACAGAATGAGACTTTGTGTCAGAAAGAAAAAAAAAGACTCTACTTATGGCAGATACTGAAATATTCCTACCCTTTCCAGCAAGTGTTCAGCTGGACTGCTTTGTTCCCCTTTTCTCTATCCTTGTCCCTGTTTCTTGTGTAAAGCAGTAAGATGTAACGATACAATGAAGAGGGGCAGCAGTGACTCAGGCAGGTAACCAGATGGCTTTACAAGTGGTCATTTTATCGGTCTTGGATCTTTCGGGCCATTCTGTCAGCTAAGAGTTCCCCAACCCAGTGCTAAATGACTTATCAAAGAAACCAACCAGGTCCATCTGGAGCCGAGTGCGGTCCTTCTGTCTAGAACATTTGGGAGCCTCTAGTGCCCTGAAGAGCATCAGTGCCTTCCAGGGATGGGATGGGATGAATGTAGCGAGGCTGCACCTGCTGCTCTCAGCTTTCTCAGTTTGCAGAGCTGACTTGCTGCTTCCATCCCCTGGACGCCCCACCTCCTGTTCATTGCTGGAACCCAGGTTGCAGGGTCCTGCCTTGTGTTCAGCATTTGCTCCTCTTCCCTGAGTCATTATCTTTTGGTCATTACCATTTAAACTTTGCCATCTAGGATGACTAGGTGTCTGTCCTGTTGGAGAGACTTGCACCAGTTAAACTATTGGTCGAAGAGGTACCATGGTGGTCTATTGTCCTGACACCTTGGGGTTATCTAGTGTGCATCAAGGGGTTTGTCTGACTCAAAGGCTTATTCCACACCTCCTGCTGATGCTGCTCAGCAACAGGTGAATCCTCATATCCTGTTTTCTAAACCTAAGACCTGCAATAGCCATGATCTAGGGTGGTACATCAACAGAGGACTCATAATTGAGACAGGCACCAAAGAAGAAACAGCTTTGGTAGTTATACTTGGTCAGACATGGAAAGATGTCAAGGTAACTGCAGCTCAAGGCAACCTGGGGTCACTTTTCCTTAGTTGAACCAAGATCCCCTATACATACTCCAAGTTCTCCTTTTAATTCTTTTGATTATACCAACTCCTTATGTACATCTTTTTATGTCAATATTTCTATTTGCTAAGACTATACTTGGCCAGGTGCAGTGGCTCATGCCTGTAGTCCCAACACTTTGGATGGCCAAGGTGGGCAGACAGCTTGAGCCCAAGAGTTCAAGACCAGCCTGGGCTACATGGTAAAACCCCATCTCAACCAAAAATACAAGTTAACCAGGTGGAGTGGTGCTTGCCTGTAGTCCCAGCTACTTGGGAGGCTGAGGTGGGAGGATCACTTGAGCCCAGGAGACAGAGGTTGCAGTGAGCCAAGAGTGTGCTGCTGCCCTCCAGCCTGGGCAACAGAGCAAGACCTTGTTTCAAAACAAATGAAAAACCAAAAAACTACTTATGGCAGATACTAACATAAACACTGAAAATACAAAAATGCATGTTGCATTCCTACCCTTTCCAGCATTTTCACTTTAGTGGGTTGGACAGGTAAAGATTGGAGTTGGTATTACCATGCAAACATCTACAGGGGCCCATTAGTAACCCAAGAGTGATGTGGGTCTATTTGAGCAATACTGTCCTCTTTACTCAACTAAAAGGAAAACAAAGGCACAAGTGTGATGATGAATGTCAGCTGCCACCTACCTCAGTGTCAGGAAACAAGGGGGATGTTAGCATGCACCTTCTGTGATAGCGGGGGACTCCTCTCCCTTGTTCACCACTGTAGCAGCAGGACCTGGGACAGTCTGGGCTATTGCAGGTGTTCGATAACTTTGATCCATCAGTGAATGAGATCTGGGGACCGTGGTGAGCTGGAGAGTGATGCCCTGTAATGGGAGCAGCTGCAGCTTAGCTCCAGTCAATTCTGCTACGTAGAAATATGGGCCCAAGAGTTCTCACATCTGATTTTTTTTTCTTCAAGGAAAGCCAGAAATCTTGACTTTTAGGTGAAATCTCTAGGTTTAAAAAATGTCAACCAAATTAAAATGTGCAGGCGATTGTGTGTTGACCTGATAATGTGTCCACAGGCCAAATGCGGATCAGATCTGGGGCCTTCATCAAGTTACAAAGACGACCTGCCAGAAAATGGTTTTTTTGTATTGCCATTTTCTGTTTAAGTCCCATTTTCCATAGTAGAAAGGCACCAGAGAAGCAACCCAAAAGCATGTTTTCCTGTGACTTCCATGAAAAAGCTTCGGGTTTAGTGTATTTCAGGTCTAGTGGGAGCTGAATACCAAGTGAAAATATACCAAGGTATTCATGGTACAACCCAGATCAGGTCCAGCTGCATTTTCCTAGCACTCAGAAAGGAGGGTGTCTACAGTGCTGAGATGGCAGAAAGAAAATCATCAAAATACAAGTTGGCCCTGCTTCCCAGAGCTCTTGAATACTGAACCCCGAGTGGCTGAGCAGCTCTGAGTAGTGAAACCACGTAGCATGTGAAGTGCAGGTGGTAATGGAAAGTCAGTTGGCGCGGCTCAGGCTGGCTGCCCAGAGGGAACTATATTTATACCACCACTCACAGGGCAAGTTCTGCCTGGTCCCAGAAGGAGACATCTAGCTGACTGAGGGCTTCAGAGGGGGTGTCTGAGGTCACTGATCCTAAGCTGGGTTCACATGGAGAGCATGGCCCTGCTCAGCCATCACCATCTGTAGAAAAGGTGGACTCAGCGTGCACCCAGCCCAGGTGAGAGAGCAGAATCAGTACAGTGCCAGTATTCTGCATCTGGGAAGACTAATGAAATTGCTGCTTGGGGGAAATCTCCTGGATACCATGCTATGTTCATTTCAGACAGCCTGTGATTTAGAATTGTGAAGTCCAGGGTCAATGGAGATCATCAAACTTGTGTCTCTCTCATTCCCTAGAAAAGGGCAGTAAGGAAGGTATAGAAGCTATCTGTGAGCCACCGCACCTGTCCCAGGCCTTTCCTGCTTCAGCATCCCAAAATCTTCTCAAAATATTTTTTGTTACAATGCTGAGCACAATGCTTGATACATGGTAGATATGCAACATTAAAAAAAGCAACAATATTTAGTTTCACTGTGTCCAGGAGCCCTGGTCAGCACTTAGCATATCTTGTCTCATTTAATCTGCACAGCAGTCCTGGGAAGTAGCTATTACTACCCCCATTTTACAGAGGAAGAAACAGAGGCTTACGGAGATTAAACAAGCTTTCACTGTAGTGAGGCTGAATTTCACCCCAGCCCTGTGGTCCTAGAAAATAGCAAAGATTAAAGAACTCCTCTTTCCCTTTTTGTGTCTGATCTACTGTCAGATCAGAATACCTCCATCTGTGCCTCTTTTCCATCCTACTTCCCCACACCAGCTTCTTCCTAACCTTGTTGACTCCTCCTTAAAAGGAAAAGCCCCTTTCTTCCTAACCCTTGAGGCATTTGCGGATCTCATGGTTGGAGCATTCCCCTCCACCCCTTTTTTTTCAGCAGTCCTTGTACCCCCTATTGCAAGTCTCATACCCTTCTCTTGAAATGATCCTTTCAAATAAAGTCTGCCCTTGTCCAAGTCCGGAGCTGTTTATTTTTATTTTTATTTTTTTTTGAGATTAGCTAATTGAGCACTTCCTTAGGGCTAGGACCTGTACTAAATACTTAGTAGATGGTATCTCATTTAATTATTAAAATGAAACTGTATGCTAGTGTGTTTACTGTTACTGCATTTTAGAAATGAAGAATAAAGTCCAAGGTGACCCACTAGGGATTTTAGAACCAAAGTCTGTCTGTCTTTTCTATTGTACTCCATCATGCCTGATGATGATCCACAATGTCTTGGGCCCTCAGAGGGAAGCTGGCCTGATAAAGAAGAGGGTGTGGTGACTTGGGGCAGAGGGAGGTAAGTGTTGTCCAAAGGCAAGTGATCACTGAAATAACTTAGATCTCTAGGTGAGATTGCCTGTCATTGAATTAACACATAGGTGGCTCTTTGATCCAGCACATCCTTGGGTTTGGGCTCAGCAGGTCTCATGAAGAAGTAAGCCCATATGGCTGATACGATTTGCCCTTGGGTTCTGCTACCTCTGAGTGCATGTCTTCATTTCTTCCAGCACCTGTGTGATGTGCAGAACCACCTTACCCATTCAATGTATGTGTGAGGAGAAGTGGGAAGTTTCTGCCGCTTGCTCCAGTCCAATCTACAAGCTCTTAGAGGGGAAGAAGAGAGATGGCCTGAGACCAGCAAGCTGTTTATGGCCCATCTATCTGCTCTGCCAATGCTTCTGTCACACCAGCCAGGCCCTTTTCCAAGTAGAACTACAAGCCACAGTTGAACCCTTCTGGCCTCTTGTGGTCAAATTCAGCCATAAACTTAATCTACCCAATAGTGCTGAATCTCCAGGGGTCTTGAAGGCAGGTAGCCTGGTAGACAGCCTGGGCTTTGGGATTGAAGAGCCCTGGGTTTGAATCTTAGCTCCATCACAACCATGTTGGGAAGAAGAGCTTGGACAATGTGTTTGACCTTTTTGAGCCCTGTTTTCTTCATCTCTGAAGTGTGAACAGTACCACTGACATGAGGGTTGGCAGATGAGACACTGACAGCAAAAAGCCTGGATTACTATGCCAGGCACATAGTAGAGCTTCCATTGGTATTGCTTGCTTCTCTGGCTTGGCCACTCTGAGAAGTTGGTGTCTTTATTTGGTGCCTCTTTCTTCCTTGTAAAACTTTCCTCTCAGTTTCAGGGTCCTTTCTCCACAATCTCCCCGGTGACTAAAGCTCTCACAATGTTTTAAAGTTCTTATTGTGTAGGCAACTGATGATTTAAACTAATTTAAAATAAGTTTACACAGATTTAATAAATTACCCCTCCAAATGGTAATTGCATTTTTAAAAGAAATTACCTGCAGATGACATTTTCAAAAAGATTCATCTGCAGAAAGCAGATGAAATGGCATTACAGTCCTGGGGGATGCCCTCAGCTTTCAATATGAGGTTCTCCTTGCTTCTGAGATGAAGATCTTCCTATAGTGGTCCACTCCCCATGTAGAGGTTCCATTCCAATAGCTCATTGAAACCTCCCATCAAGCGGAAATGTCTGCAGCCTAGACAAGAGTTTACTTCCTGTCATTCCCACTCATCCAATCCTCAACAGCTGCCTAAGCTCAAAACCTCAGTCATCTTTTAACCTTTGCTGTGGGAGTCAATCAAAAAAGCTAGTCACTGGTTGGCTCCTTGGTGTGGTCCCTCACATCCACTTTCCTCTCTCCATTTTTTTTTTTTTTTTGAGATGGGGTCTCACTGTGTCACCCAGGCTGGAGTGCAGTGGCATGATCTCAGCCCACTGCAAGCTCTGCCTCCCAGGTTCATGCCATTCTCCTGCCTCAGTCTCCTGAGTAGCTGGGACTAAAGGCGCCCACCACCATGCCCGGCTAATTTTTTTGTATTTTTAGTAGAGACGAGGTTTCACCGTGTTATCCAGGATGGTCTCGATCTCCTGACCTCGTGATCTGCCCACCTCGGCCTCTCAAAGTGCTGGGATTACAGGCGTGAGCCACCATGCCTGGCCTCCTCTCTGCATTTCTATTGCCACGTCCTTGGACTGGTTCCTTTTCCTTCTCACACTGCCATCACTGGAATGAGTCCTAAATGCTCACCTGTTCATGTCAGATGCTGGGTTTCTGAACCACACATGCTTTGGAGCTCAGCCACTGGGGCACCTTGGCTCATTACTGAACCTCTTAGAACCTTAGTTTCTTTTTCTGTACATTGGGATAATAACAGCATCCACATAGTAAGGTTGTTGAATGATTCAGATGAGATTCCGTAAAGACTGAGAAACTGTTCCAGTGTCATGAAGGATTCTAAAGAGGCATGGGAGCTAAACACAATGCCTGATTCTGAACTGGACCATTTTACTCTAAAGGATATTGTTGGGACACTGATGAAACTTGAATTTGGGGAGAAGACCAAGTGGTGCTAATGATCAGTGTTAAGCTCCTGATTTTGATAATTTTATTACATTGATGTGGGAGAATGTCCTTTTGTATAGAAAATTCAACACAAGAGAATTTGGAGGTGACGGGGACTCCAATTTGCAACTTGTTCTCAAGTGGTTCAAGAAAAAAACTCTACTTGCAACTTTTTTATAAGTTTGTGATATTTCCAAATAGTATTTAAAAATTTAAGGAGAAGAAAAATCAAGGTCCTATAGGTAAGGCACCTGGCCTAGAGTTGGGATTCAGGACGCAGGTACCTTTTCCTTTCATCTTCCCTTGTCTGTTCTGCACATGGTAGCTCAAGATTTTCCTCATGCCCTGCTTTTGTCATGTCCTTACCATGCTTAGAGTCCCTTCATGAGTTCCCACAAACAAAGCCTAAACTCTCTAGGCTGATTTGAAGGTCCTCCATAATCATTCCTCAGTCTATGGAACTCCATGTTTTGGACAGTCTTATTCATGTCCACCTTGAGACTTTTGCTCCTTTGGGTTTGTGCCTAGAATGGGCCCTAATGCCCCTGGCACTTGAACTGACAGGTGGACATTTAACTATTTCATCTGGTCTATGGTATTTCATTCTTCACATTAGGTGTTTTGCTTTCCCTGACCTGATTTATAAGATTACTGAGCTCAGAGCCCATAGCCACTAGGATGTAAGCTCCACAAGGGCTCGGAATTTGGCTTGTCTTGTTCACTGCTGAACCCTGGAGCCTAGAGCCCTGGCACTTAGCAGATGCTCAATGGGTATTTGTTTATACATTTTGCATCAATGTCATAGACTTCATTGCATATCCTACAATGTGGAGAAATGTGCTCTGCAGATGGGTGCTTGGAAATACATGTTGAACAAATTTATGGATGAATTGACCAGTGTGAGGCTCAGTTATCATGGATAGCCTAGTGTCTCTGCTGTAGGAGGGCAAGATGCATAAGTGATCAGTAACCACACTTGTTTGGTGGCACTAGGATATTGACTACACAGTTCCTATTGGAGGGTCAGTAGAATTCAGGGCTGAGGATGACAGTCCTCATTGCATTATTTATGGGCCTCTCACATACCCTCCCTGGCAGGATTTCTTAGGAGTTGTTTGCACATGATCAATTTCCTTTCCTGGAATGAGGCGTCATTCTGACCTTAGCAGTGGCCTGCCTGATGAGATATTTATTCAATAGGACTATGGGAGGTGAAAGGATGACAGGCCAGCCTTACAGCTCTATCAGTGCTCCCCCAGGGCCAAGGTCAAGATAAAAGACCTTTAATACCAGAATCTGACAGGTTGTCAGAAACCCATCTCTGTGGAAAATGGCAGACAGATTAAATGCAAGTGGATTTAAATCCCCTTTAGGGACAGAAATTTGTATTTTTGAGCGCCTGGTGTATCAAGCGCAATGATAGACCCTTTACATAGATTCTCACAAAAACATTATAAGCCAACAATAGGCTGTGGGTCATGGCTTTCCCCACCTCCTCACCTCCCAGTATCTCCTCTTCTCACTCTGATCAGGTTTTGTCCCTGTCACTCCTGTGAACCATTTTTTAAAAAATCAAGGTCACAAATGCTATAACTTACCAAAGCTAATTCTCTTTCCCCATGTGACTCAGTTTCTCAGCTTTGGGCTGAGCTGACGACTCATCCCTTGAAATCCTTTCTTTCCTGTGCTTCCATGACAGTCACATGGTTCTCTCCTTGCCTCAGTGAACACTCCCTTTCTGTCTAAATTCTAAATGATGAAACACCCCTTGGCCCTCTTTTCTTTTCTAGTTACATTCTCTCCCCAGGAGGCCTTATCCAGTCCCATCTATTTACTGATGACCCCCAAGTTTATTTTGTCTACCCAGGGTTCTCCCTTGAGCTCTAGACTTATGTCATTTCTACTTGAATGTTGAATTCATGTCTAAGACTCACAGTCAAAACGAAAGTATTGATTTCTACTTCGGTATCTCATACTCCTCCAATAGAAAATTGAAAAGAGTGTGACCAGATTTTACTCACTTCTCCTGCCCATAATTTTCCCTTTTCTTTACTTAGTTCAGTAACAAGCACCATAGACTTGTGGAATCCTTGTTGTGGAAGTAGTTTGGGGATTTGCTATTCAAATATCTTCATTTTACAGATGAGGAAACCAAGACCTAGAAAGGGGAAATGATGAGGTCAATTAACAATGTAAAGATAATTAACTGCAGAGCTGAAACTAGAAGCAAGCTTTCCTAACTTGTAGTTTGCATTTTACTAAGACCTTATTTTTCACTTTCTCCTTCAAGCATATGAACTTGAGGAAAATAATGTCTTTGGCTGCTTACTTTATTAGCTGGTTTTCCAGCCTCACTGTCTTCTTCCCAGCCCTAACAATTTCCAAGCCTGACCTTATTTTGTGGAATCCCACAATCCCTATCAGAGATGGTAAATACCTGACTCATATGCTGCTACTCCCTCAACAGTGTCCATGGCAGACATCACTAGTCGATCATGATCCTTTATACTGCTGAGCCCTGATGTAACCCCAGAAGGCTTCACAATATAATGTTCCAGGAAGCCACTATCAACTGATCAGAATTGACTTTAAGATGAAAACTGTGTTCATCTATACAACCTCAAACTTTATCCTCTCTGGTCTCATTTTTTACTCTGAATCTGTTTTTGGAGGCTAGGTAATTTGATTTAGGGTATTAAAGAGTGCTAGTGAGACATTACATTTTACCATCAACATTTAGAAACAATGCTGATCTCCAAACATAACATTTTAATGGTGAAAATGTGAAGGACTGAGGCAGGTGATCTGTCTTTCTTGTTATACTAAGCAGACAAATGGCTTCTGAGTTCAAGTTCAACTCAGTAATTTACCAGATGTGTGACTTTGGACTAGTCTCTTAATCTCTCTGAGCCTCATTTTCTTTAATAAGTGTGAATAACACTTTACATAAACTATTATGGTTCCTTTATGTAAATAAATCTTAGACCCCAGAGTGATTCACCCTGGGAAAGCCATCAGCTTTCCAAAGTCCTTTTTTTAATGGTTCTTGCAAAATACCTCACATTTTAGTCATAGTACAAAAGCGTTCAATCAACATAGCAGTAAAGAAAAAAACACATTGCTTGTAGCTTATCCTTTGAAACTAGAATAGACAAGTGAAAAGTCAGTACAAATTATTTTTACTTAAATAAAAAGTACACCTTGAAATTGAATGACTGTTTTTTCTTTTTTTCTAGAGATGCGATATGCATATTTTCTGGTAAGTAATAGTCTATCACACATAAAGCAGACAGATGACCAGTAAAGCTGTTTACAACTTCCTCCTCATGCAGAGCTCAACCAGTGGAACACCATCTCAGCAGGAGAGAATTTTGACAGGAAGAGGAAGTTAGAATTCTTACCTACCCTACAGAAAACTTAAACTGGTTTATACTGAAAGGATTTTCAGCAAATGTGCATAGACACATTTAATGTGCTCTAAGAACAGGATACTGATTTAGTTGATTTCCAGCACACAGCATGAATTCATTGGTGCCTAGTAAAATAGGAATTAACATAGAAGGCATTTTTGCCTTCATAGCACTAACAACTATGAAAAGCACACAGCGCATGTTTTGATCTTTAAGTGGGTGATCATGGAAATTGCAAGATCATATTCACTAGGTTAGCCTGATTCTTCATCTATAAAAATATTTTCTAGGGCCAGACACGGTGGCTCACGCCTGTAATCCCAGCACTTTGGGAGGTCAAGGCAGGTGGATCAAGAGATCGAGACCATCCTGGCCAACATGGTGAAATCCCGTCTTTACTTTAAAAAAAAACAAACAAAAATTAGCTGGGCGTGGTGGCACCTACCTGTAATCCCAGCTACTCAGGAGGCTGAGGCAGGAGAATCACTTGAACCTAGGAGGTGGAGGTTGCAGTGAGCTGAGATCGTGCCACTTCACTCCAGCTTCGCAGCAGAGCGAGACTCTGTCTCAAAATATTTTTTAGAAATATAATGCTTAAAAAAGACTTCTGGAAACAGTGGGACTACATCAGGACCAGCAGAAGACAATGGTATACAGGACTGTAAATGTAAGACTAGGAGTTGATTTTTCACATGTAGTTTTTAGGTAAAGGGTCGCTCTCTTTGTAGATTCCTACAGCCAAGACAAACTGGGATCACAGGAGATCCAGAAATCTCAAGATAGTCAGCTGGCTTGGTAACACCCTAGATAAATACTCCTACAAATAGTAAAAAAAAACTCCACTGAAGCTGACGGACTGAAACTCTGACCCATGTGAAAAAGAGCTGTGGCTGGGCTCGGTGGCTCATGCCTGTAATCCCAGCACTTTGGGAGGCTGAGGCAGGCAGATCAAAAGGTCAAGGGATCAAGACCATCTTGGCCAATATGGTGAAACCCCGGCTCTACTAAAAATACAAAAATTAGCTGGGTGTGGTGGCATGCGCCTGTAGTCCCAGTTACTTGGGAGGCTGACACAGGAGAATTGCTTGAACCTGGGAGGTGGAGGTTGCAGTGAGCCAAGATTGTGCCATTGCACTGCAGTCTGGTGACAGAGCGAGACTCTTTTTTTTTTTTTTTTTTAAATAGCTGTAAGTGCACAAAAAGTTTCATGCAAGGCCTGGGTCAAAGGATTTGTGATGGTGGATTATTCCACATTGTTGACATGCCAATATGCATGCTGGGGAAAGGGGCCCCCAAAGGATTCTGACCCAGAAGCACCTGAGGGAAGTGCTACTTGGAAGGAGTACTAGGATTACTGAGCACTTGGGGAAGTGTACTAGGGTTACCGAACACAAGAAGGTATTTCGGGAGAAACTGTTCTGGGGGAGTAGGTTATTTTGGTTTTGATACATTAATACTTAATGAAGAGCTGCAGAACAGCGGCAGTCTTTCCAAGATGTATTCCTCAGTCATCAGTAGCTGAAACTTCTCTGAGCCTATCCAGCTGGTGACATTAGAATGCTCCCATTCATTGCCTGGAGGTGGGATCTGGTGCCGCAGATTTTTTGGGAGGCTGGCATACAGGATGATTTGTACAATGAAGTTAGCACTATACCACTGCTTAAATCCAGTCCCTGGCCTTCTTTTTCTGCATTGTAGTCCAGAAATATTTCTCTAAAAGTCAGACAGTCTGTAAATGTGAGCAGCCTATGGAACGTGTGACCCACCCCTTCATCTTTATGGTGCGTCGTAACCTTGCTGTGAGGGCCGCCATGTTGAATCCAGAAATCCACTCCAGGATGGTTGAGGTTGGGGTGTCAAGCGTTTAGTCTTGCACCTGCCACACCCTGATTGTCTTACAATCTTGGGCAAGTGATTCAGCCTTTCTGAGACTCCATGAGGACCTCACAATGTCCTTAAAATGTTTCAATTCAGAGTGCCTGGCATGTAGTAGATGCATAATAATCAATTCAATTCATTCAACTAATACTGAGCATCTACAATGTGCCAGGAGTGGTATTGGTGATAAGGCAGTAAACAAGGCAGATAAAGGTCCTGTCCTTATGGAACAAAGGAGGCAGCTTATGTTTGTATTAAAGATTTGGTGACTATTCCTCTCAGGTGGAATCACTCATCCCAAGGGCTTTGCTTTACTCAGGGCTCCAAGCTCTCCCAGCATCTTTTGCCTCTGGGTAGGTATCACATCCAGGAGAGAATGAATATGATGTCTTCTACTCCTTTGCACCATGTTCTTGGAGAAGGATGGTGGAATTTGGCCAGATAGCCTAGCTTTGGACTGGAGCTGGGCTACAGAGGTGCTCTTCTGGTCTAATGAGAAGCCTGTGCCTAAGAGATCATGTTATGTCTGAGCTCAATGTTCACTACTTCCAGGCTCCCTCTGAGGCATGTGGCACTGGGATTTTTGCTAGCTAGAAAGCCACCCAAGCAAAGAACAGATCTTCCCGGGAATGGCTGTAATTTTTTTGGTGGGGAGTTTAAGTCCGTGACCACTGTACAAGGTTCTGTGGAATGAGTATCATGTCAATGCTATTTAATAATATGGTAACCACTGACCATTTAATTACATGGTAATTGTCACTTAGTGGCTGAGTAATTGCATAGTAAGTACCATCTAATTTCAGGGTAAAGGGTAAATACATGATTATGTCAGCCTCCTTAGGCACAGTATAGGTCACCCAGGAATTAGGTTTGGATTGACTAAGTATAAATTACCTAGAAATCTGTTTTCGGGTGATTACTCCTGTCATCCTTCCTCGACAAAGCCCCTAATGGTTACCATAAAATTAAAAAGAGATTTCAAGAATTTGGGCCTCAGGAACTTAAAGGGACAGTGTTTCATGTTAGAGTCAATCATTGCTTGCTATGCAAGAGATGGTGCTTGGTTAGGGAGGAGATAGAGAAGAGCTTACAAATTTCTCCCTTTTCTGTCTGGCAGCAGAGTTTTCTTCTGCTGTGGTGATGTGGAGAGTTCAACACATGATCCTGAAACTGACATCATAAGGTGTAAATACAGCATCCATCCCATTGTCTCTTGTTATAAGCCCTGGGCTAGCAAGAGGGATGGTTTCCATAGTGGTTAAACGGTGGCTCCCACAAAACTGTGTTCACCACCTAATCCCTAGAACATGCAAATGTGATCTTATTTGGAAAAAGCGTCTCTACAGATGTATTAGAATTAAGGACCTTGAGATGAACTCATTCTGGATTATCCAAGTAGGCACTTGTACTTCAATGACAAATGTCTTTACAAGATACAGAAGAAGAGACAAAATTAAGAAGACTATGTGAAGTCAAAGGCGGAGCTTGGAGTGAAGTCAAGCAATGCCTGGAATCAGAACCTGGATTGAGGCAAGGAATGAATTTTCCCCAGGGTCACTGGAGGGTGCCTGGCTCTGCCAAAACTTTGTACTTTTGGACTTCTGGCCTCCAGAGCTCTGAAAAAGGATAATTTTTTTTGTTTTTGTTTTGAGACAGCATCTAGCTCTGTTGCCCAGGCTGGAGTGCAGTGGTACCATCTCAGCTTGCTGCAACCTCTGCCTCCCGGCTTCAAGCAATTCTCCCTGCCTCTGCCTCCTGAGTAGCTGGGATTACAGGCACCCACTATTATGCCTGGCTAATTTTTATATCTTTTAGTAGAGACGAGGTTTTGCCATGTTGGCCAGCCTGGTCTTGAACTCCTGATCTCAGGTGATCTACCTGCTTCAGCCTCCTAAAGTACTGGGATTACAGGTGTGAGCCACTGAGCCTGGCCTGAAAAAGAATGTATTTCTGTTTTTTTAAGATACCCAGCTTGTGGTACTTTGTTATAGCAGCTACAGGAAACTGATACAGTCTCTAAGGAGCTGTGGGGCAGCGGGGGTCCCTGGCTGGGGTTAAGGAACAGCTATAGAAGAAATAAAAGTTTGCACAAGTCAAATCCCATCTTGTGTGGTGAGCAGAGCAGTTCTCAGCAGGCCACAGAGCAGTGACACAGACTCAGAGATGGCAGGCAGGAAGCAAGGCCCACTGCTAGGTCCATTTGAGGGCTCCTGTGTTTGCTGGAATCTCATATGGGAAGGGAATACACAAAACCAGGTTTAATGTTCTTTCTCATGACAGAAATTTTGGGGTCCTTCTGGAAAAATGCAAAACTGTTTTTAAAAATGCCCAAACTCCCAGGATCAAGATACAATCACATTAGTCTACTTCCTTTGAATCTTTTGTGTTGACCCTAGCTAGTTGGCAAAAATGAGAGTGCAGGCTTTGGGGTTGGATTTAAAACCTGTTTCTACCACACAGTAGCTGGATGAACTTGGACAAGTGGTTTTCCTGAGTCTGTTTCCCTATCTTTCAGGTGAGGAAAATAAAACCTACCCTGTAGGATGTTAGTTTCATGAGAGAGAGTGTGTGTGTGTATATATACATATACATATACATATACATATACATATACATATACATATACATATACATATACATATACATATACATATCCTTTAATGAGTGTATATAATGAGAGAGAGTTTGTGCTCAGTCAAGTGCAGCTATTATTTCTATACTGATGTACAGGGCAGAGTAAAATAAGCATTTCCTATGTTATGAACTCTCCATAGACCTTTGTAAATGCTGCATCACAGACCATTAAATAGATGTGGCGGAGATGAAACTGATATTGACAGCAGTTACATTGCCTCCCTAGAGTCGCTTATCGAGCTTACTGCTAATTATGCAGTCCCTCCACCACCCTACCTCTGAGTTTTAATGGCACCCTCTGCTTCCCTTTCCCCACACCCTGCCGTGGACTCAGTTTTGGAAGGCATAGAAATTAGTTACCCTGCATATACACCTTGGGTACCTTGGGCACTCAGGTTTAGATTAAAAAGTGTTTGGAGGCAAATAATAAGGTCCTAAAATAATCCATTCAAGATTGCACCTAGCTTTATGATCCTGCAAGAAGGAGCTATCCAGCCAATAGAAGAATTAACCAATAAAGGATTTAAAAGACCCTTACTAAATAAAAATAACATGAACCATTCTCTAGGAGGCCTCCTGAGTCCTTGTTGCATTTAAGTGCTGCATGTGGAGTCTGGTTTATTTTTATGGGTTTTGAGTCGTTTGCTCTCACAGCCTTCCTCATTTCTGTAACAACACTCTCTGCTTAGTTACACATGGCATTCTGCACACCTGTCCTCCCATCTCCCAACTGGGCTGTGTAGAAGACACCCTCACCAAGGGTTGGAGGTAGCCAGGGAGGGCCCACTTTCTGGGTTTATGTCACAGCTTTGCACCTTGGAGGTCAGTTTTGATCTGTGGAGCATCTCAATGGTTTATCTTGCAGTTTGACAATTTCAGCCAGGCAGGGTGATATCTTGGGGCACAGTCTTAGAAAATGATATCTCCTAGAGGAATAATAAACAACAATAAGCTTCCTTTATTGGATGTTTCCACCACTCAGGCATTTTGCTAAGAGTTTCACACTACTCTTATTTAACTATTACAACAAATGGATGAAACTGGCTTTGTCATCTTCATTTCTCTAGGCCAAGTAAACCTAGAGAGGTCCCTGACCCAGCTAAGGACCATGTGGCTAATAAATGAGGTGATGGAATTCAGACCAAGCCCCCGTGGCACATGGAAGTGTGGGTGATGAGTCACTTTCACTCCATAACACAATCTTTTTGAGGTGATAAGTGTCTTAGTCCTTTTGTGATGCTACAACAGACTACCTGAGATTGGGTAACATAAAAAACAAATTTTTGCCCCACAGTTCTGGAGGATGGAAAGTCCAAGATCAAGATTCTGGTGTCTTGTGAGGGCCTTCTTGCTGTGTGCTCACATAGCAGAAGAGAAGAAGAGAGTGAATCCACTCCAGCAAGCTTTTTTTTTTTTGGTCATGGTGGCTTAGTCTGTTTTATGTTGCTATTAACGTCCGAGTCTGGGTAATTTATAAAGGAAGGTGGTTTATTTAATTCATGGTTCTGCAGGCTGAGAAGTTCAAGGGCATGGCCCTGGTTTCTGGAGAGGGCTTTTGTGCTGCATCATAACATGGTGGAGAAAGTCAAAGGGGAAGCGAACACATGTGAAGAAGAGGGAGACCTGAGGGACGTCCTGGCTTTATAACAACCCGCTCTCTCAGCAACTATTCCTAAAAGAACTAATTTATTCTCACAAGAGTAAGAACTCACTTCCTACCACAAGAACTTCCCTAAGCCATTCATGATTTGTCCTCACATCTCAAACATCTCTCAGTAGGCCTCATCTCCCAGCACCACTACACTGGGCGTCAAATTTCAATATGAGCTTTGGTGGGAACAAAGAAACCACATCCAAACCATAGCAAACAGCACCAGTCATTTCACCTCCCCAAAGGCCCCACCTCCCAATGCCACTTCACTGAGGATCAAACTTCCAACATATGAATTTTCAGACACATTCAGACCGTAGCAATGAGTTTGGTGGGTTTACACTGTCACATTGAGGGAACCCATAATTGACTTGGAGTCTCACCTTCTATCTAAAAGTTATTAAAATCTGGACTGAGAGAAATGTTGCCTACATATCAGAAGGCTTGGTTGAGGCACTTTATAATCCTCTAGATGAGTGGTTCTCATCTAGAATTCATTTGGAATTGTCCAATCAATCAGATTCCCCAGGGTTGAAATCCAGCCATCTGTATCTTCTTAAAGGTAAGCTGCAGGTGATCCTGATGCATCTAGTCTGTGGACTAGTTTTTGGGACTCCCTGCATAAAACGTTCTAGATTTTATCTCTGGATTAAGCCACATCAATAGACAGCTGGAAATCAATGACATCATTTTAGCTTTAAAAATCCCAACTTTTACCATCCTGTGTGTCCATTGGCTGAAAATGAAGGACATTATAAGACAGAGCCATATATGATTCAGAATTAAACAGTGTGTATGGGATAATTGATATTGCTAGAGATATAATTCAGTAATCAGACCAGTCTCTTAGTTAACTTTCTTTCAGGATTCATTCTCAGAAATAGCTTTGCTTCTCCTGATAGCCATTTTTTCTCCCTCCATGTGGACGTTGTCTTGTGTAACTGATTGAATTTCTTTAAATTGGCCAGTGGGAAGCCCAGAACAAAATTTACACATTTTAAGCAAATTGTAATAGAGCCTTATGTGTTTTGTTTCTAATTTTACTTCAGGATTCTTTTTATTCTGTCTCTTTCTTCTGTTGTTATATTCTCACTGCTGTGCCAAATGGAGCTTTGTTGATCTGCCCGCCATGGTGGTTCGTTCATAAAATGGAGATCTCTTTCACACCTTAATTTTTAGAAATTGGGATAAACCTACACTTAATACATATATATATAATGAGATAATGTATTAGTGTCCCTGCCATAGAAGAGTACCAAACACTAGGTGGCTTAAAATAACATAAATTTATTTTCTCACATTCTGGGGGCAGAAGTCTGAGATCAAAGTGTTGGCAGGGCCGTGCTCCCTCTGACAGCACCACGGAAGAATTCATTCTTCCCCCTTCTAGCCTCAAGGATTTCCTGGCAATCCTTGGTATTCCTCAGCTTGTGCCTCCTCTAGGCACATGGCTGTCTTCTCCCTGTGTCTCCACATTGTTTTTCCTGTGTGTGTGTGTCTGTGTCTTTGTTCAAATTTCCCCTTTTTGTAAGCACACCAGTCCTATTGGATTAGGACCACCCTAATGACCTTATTTTGATGACTGCTGCAAAGATGCCACTTCCAAATAAGGTTATGTCTTTAGGTACTGGGGGTTAAGACTTCAACATATTTTTTCTTGGGTGACATAATTTGACCCATAACATAGTATATCTTTTCTTTCCTGACTATTTCTGAATAGTCACTTAGCTGGAAGAGACTGTTGGGTGTCACTATCATTTTTTTTTTTTAAATTAAAGTGAGTTTAGAAAATACCTGTTGATTCAGTTGCCTTGGTTTTTCCTAGTCCCAAATAGTTTGAATAGTTTAATTAACAATTGAATTTACACAATCCCCTTAAATTTGTCATTGATACAGGATGTATTCATGACCCTTAGTGCCTCCTGATGTCAAAAACCATACCCTTAATGCCTCCCCGTAGTTTACAGGGCCATTTTAGTTTCCAGAGGAGGGGATTACATCACTGCAGGGGGCTCTCTTTCTGTATAATCCCTGTGTCATGTGTTCCCCACAAAACTTTGTCTCATCTGCAATGCCCTAGAGTAATGGAGACTATGGCAGGAAAACTTGCTTGAAAAAGCTCCTACCAACCAGTATCTCAAAGGTCGTGGAGTAGTAGCAGGAGGGGCTTCCAGGTGACAATCAGCACTTGAAGTTTCTTTTCTCCCTACAACCAGGGAGATCTTAACTACTCACCCATCACAACTGGAGATGGTATCTGTAGGTCATATTCATAGGTTTTCTCTGGAGCATGTTTGCAGAACTTTCATTTCTAGTTGCTTCAACACTTGCCTGGGACACGACAGAGCAAAACCCTGCTGTTACTGAAATCTCTGCATGATCTTGGAGCTATGTATAAACAGGTGTAGAGACAGAACTCTCAGTACAGACAGAACTCTAGTTTGGCTCTGATGTGGGCAAGTGGCTGGTCTAACATAGATTGTCATGGATCAGCAAGGATCTTGGACTGGAATAGGACATGGAAATGGAGCAGGGATGATGAAGCCATCAGGCTACAAAGGAAGTAGTAAAGCCAGACAAAGGTCAGTCCGGAGTTGCTCTCTGAGCTACTTCTGGCTGGATTTCATGAATTACCTGGAAAATGAGGAGGCAGTTAATAGCAAACCCATATGGTAGTTATGGCTCTTCAGTATTTGAATGTTTTTTGTGTAAATCAATGTTTAAGTTAGTAGTTTAAGCCAGGTGCAGTGGCTCACGCCTGTAATCCCAACTACTTGAGAGGTTGAGGTGGGAGAATCCCTTGAGCCCAGAAGTTGGAGAGCAGCCTGGGCAGCATAGCAAGACCTCATCTCTTAAAAAGAAGGTTAGTAGTTTAGTAAATGGCAAATTAAAGGCATGACTTGGAATACTGCTATGAGGAAGCTCTTAAACTGATGAATCTTCCCTGCGTAGTCACAGCCTTGGTTACTGAGGTGTGCAGAGCAGGGAAGCATCTGCCTTGCAGTGACAACTCTTCCTTCCTCCAAATGCCCCATGTTGGCTCCCGCCCCCATCACTCTATCAAAACGGTTATAACTGAGGTCACCTGAGTGCCACTTGGTATCTGAAATCATCCCTTTCCTACCTCCCATGCAGTCCTCCTCTTCCTTTACCTCTTTAGCAGCATTGATGTTCTTGAAACACATTTTTCCTTTATCTTCTGTGACACTCTGATCTTCTACTCTTCTATCCTCTATCTCTGTTGCAGGCTCATTCTCTTTTACCAAGTTGTTAGATGTTGGGATGGTTCAAAAAACAGGCATTCTTTTCTGCAGCTGGTATTTATGTTGCAACTGTCATGAGGTAAGTTGGTGGGTACACAGAGTTGAAAGAGCTAAGAATGGGACATGGAAATGGGACTATCTGAGAATATTTGAGAGTCCTCACGTGAGGTACAACATTTGTGCAGAAACACTACATGCTCAGTGATGGCTGATATTGCTCTGACACTGGGATTATGGGATGCACTCCTGAGAC
This sequence comes from Homo sapiens, assembly GCF_000001405.40. Lineage (NCBI taxonomy): Eukaryota > Metazoa > Chordata > Mammalia > Primates > Hominidae > Homo > Homo sapiens. The sequence continues at coordinate 85,966,806 of NC_000015.10, forward strand.
GCAAACTCCTGTGAGCTACCATCTTGCCTCTTCTTAGAGAAAGAAGAATTCTGAGATTTATGTTGAAACAGAATGCAACAACAGAAATGATGCCAAAAAACAACCACCACAAAGAATAGATGCAGTGTAGCTACATCAGAGGTTGGAAAGAAATAGAGTAGGTCAAGTGCTTGGCGATTATTCAGAAGGGAAGAAGTGACAAAATCAATTATTCTTGCTACTCCTCTAGTTAGTATCCTCCCAATGTTGCTTGGTGGCTTCATTAGCTTATCACTGAAAAGCACCAATTATTACTTGGACCTTTTTAATAATAGATGGATATAAGTTTAATTATTTTTTACTAGTGTGAAGAGCCAGGCAAGGAACTGAGTTGCTTAAATGTCAAGCTCCCTACTCCATGTGTTTGTGAGGCTAAATGGAAGTTGCCTTCATTGCTTGCTGCAGAATATAAACAAATGTCAGCCATTTTAACAAACAGGGATCGTTTGACTTAATTGCAAATTAAAAACCATAAACTACCTTAAACACGGAGCTAATGCTGCATCAAATCAATACAGTAATTGCACCAGGGCAATCGAGAGGCTTATAGAGTTTCCATACCCTGCATACTGAAAGAATGCAGTCCCCAAGAGAGTTGGTAAGTCCCACTGAATGGTCAGTGGTCATGGTAAATTGCACTGACTGGCTTTTTCTCTGAGGGTGGACCAGACAGGCTGATTTTTTCATTGTCTGTGGCAACACAAAGTAAGGGCTTTTGTCCCTGAAAAGTAGTGAATTTTTTGCGTGTGTTAGACTGGAGAAGTTCTTGGAGTTTCATGTCAGGGGAAGAAAAGGACACTCTTGGGCCCACTTGTAATGCCTTGTGTTGAGCATCAATTCTCTCGGGACCCAGCAATTATGTCTTTACAGACCTGACATATAGTGGCAGCTAAATTATGTCAGTGGAATATGTCTGATTGACAGACCCCAAGTCAATTGTGCTTTGTTGAGCCATTCAGGTGACACTGGCCTTCTGTTTAGCTGTAGATGATAGAGCAGTGCTGGCAGCCTGCACTCCAAGTGGCTTTTTTTCCCCCCTCTTAAAGTGGTCCTCAGTGTTTCAGGGATGGCCTGGGATAAAAGGTGGATTAATTTGGTTCTTGCCTTTGTCACAGAATTTGGAGGGTACAGGGAAGGCCTCCAGTCCCAAATAGCTGTCTTCCACCATGCTGTCACAGTCCTGAAATAATTTCCTGTAGACACATTCCTTTGAGTGTCTGAGGTGCCAGTTAAAATGCAATTGCCCCTGGGAAGGATGAACAAATTAAACAATTAACAGCTATTAATATTGCAATGTCAAGTTGATTCAAGAGGAAACATCCCATGTGGCCCCATGAGATGCTTATGAAATAATGCCTGATCGTGTGTCTTGATTAGTTTACTAAATTAGCCAGGCCCCTTGCAGGAACCCAAGGGAACAAGACACTCCCTGAGTAAGCTTGGATGAGGTGGAGGAAGAGGACATGACATGCGTGCACTGTCGTGGGGCCTTGTTGGCTCCTGGATGCCTTTCTTTCTTTCCTGGCTTTATTGGGGAGAGGGAGGAGATTGCCTCTACAGCCTTGTCTTCCCCAGCAGGTGCAGAGGTGTGGAGCCTGAGCGGGCCTCTGTGCCAAGGAGCTTTAGCTATCTCCTCTAGGCACCCCTCCAGCTGTGTGCCCTGAGTGTGAGATGGGCCCCGGTCCTTTCCCCTATCTCCCCCCTTCCCACTCAGAACCCCATCTCTGCTTTCAGCTCACATGGCTGGCCTACGTATGTAGTTTTCACCATGCTCTCTTTTTGAAGGTCAGATTCTGATTCTTATATTTCCAGCTGTGGATAGCATTTGTCTCTAAATGAAAACATCTTTGCCAGGCTACGCGCTGCCATCAGCTACCTGACGTGCTTCCTCCTCTCCACTACGTTGGAGCCCTCGCTGGGGTTCCTCATGAGTCTAGGTGAAGCGTAATTGGTCACAAGCCTTTGAAACCTGTTATTTTTATTATTAAAAGTTTTGATTTATTTACAGTAGATACAGTACCTAATTCAAAAGACACAGAGGTGGGAGGCTGACGTAGGCAAATCACTTGAGATCAGGAGTTCGAGACCAGGCTGGCCAATATGGTGAAACCCCATCTCTAGTAAAAATACAAAAATCAGCTGGGTGTGGGGGCAGGTGTCTGTAATCTCTGTAACTCGGGAGGCGGAGGCAAAAGAATCGCTTGAACCCAGGAGGCGGAGGTTGCAGTGAGCTGAGATCGTGCCATTGTACTCTAGCCTCGACAACACAGCAAGACTCAGTCTCAAAAACAAAAAAAACAAAAAAAACAAAAAAAACACAGAGGGATATACAATGAAAAGTGTGTCTCCCTTTGTCTTCAGCCCCAGTTGGCCAATTTCTTTGAGGCAACCCTTATTAATTTTTAACATATCTTTATATATTACATGTATACGTGTGTATATGTGTGTAGACATGTATACAGATACACGTATGTTTTCTCTCCTCCCCACCATGGTAGTTGGAACACTATTCTGAACATTGCTTTTTTAAAAATAGAATTTATAGAACAATTAAAAATATAGCAATTGTAGATTCACAACAAAATGGAGCAGAAGATGTAGGGATTTCCCATCCACCCCTTCCTCACACATGAACAGCCTCCTCTGTTATCAGCATTCTGTCCCAGAGTGGTCCATTTGTTACAATGGACAAGCCCACACATCACTATCACCCAAATCCCAGAGTTTACATCACAGTTCACTCTTGGTGTTTGCTGTACGTTCTGTGGGTTTGGACCAATGCCTATACATGCAGCCACATGATAGCATCATACAGAGTAGCTTCACCACCTTAAGATCCTCTGTGCACCACTGGTTACTCCCTCCTTTCTCAAACCTTGTTTTTTTTTACTTAAAATTATATCTTGGAGATAATTTCATTTCATACAGAGAAATATTTCATTATTTTTAAGGACTGTGTGGTATTTATTATTTTTATTTTTTAATTATGCTTTAAGTTCTGAGGTACATGTGTAGAATGTGCAGGTTTGTTACATAGGTATACACGTGCCATGGTGGTTTGCTGTACCCATCAACCTGTCATCTACATTTGGTATTTCTCCTAATGCTATCCCTCCCCTAGCCCCCTACATCCCATCAGGCCCTGGTGTGTGATGTACCCTCTCTGTGTCCATGTGTTCTCGTTGTTCAACTCCCACTTATGAGTGAAAACATGTGGTGTTTGGTTTTCTGTTCTTGTGTTAGTTTGCTGAGAATGATGGTTTCCAGCTTCATCCATGTCCCTGCAAAGGACATGAACTCATCCTTTTTTAAGTCTGCATGGTAATCCATGGTGTATATGTGCCACATTTTCTTTATCCAATCTAAAATTGATGGGCATTTGGGTTGGTTCCAAGTCTTTGCTATTGTGAACAGTGCCACAATAAACATACGTGTGCATGTGTCTTTAGAGTAGAATGATTGATCCTTTGGGTATATACCCAGTAATGGGATTGCTGGGTCAAATGGTATTTCTAGTTCTAGATCCTTGAGGAATCACCACAGTGTCTTCCACAATGGTTGAACTAATTTATGTTCCCACCAACAGTGTAAAAGCGTTCCTATCTCTCCACATCCTTTCCAGCATCTGTTGCTTCCTTACTTCTTAGTGATCACCATTCTAACTGGCGTGAGATGATATCTCACTGTAGTTTTGATTTGCATCTTTCTAATGACCAGTGATGATGAGCTTTTTTTCATATATTTGTTGGCTGCATAAATGTCTTCTTTTGAGAAGTGTCTGTTCATATCCTTTGCCCACTTTTTGATGGGGTTGTTTGTTTTTTTTCTTGTGAATTTGTTTAAGTTCTTTGTAGATTCTGGATACTAGCCCTTTGTCAGATGGATAGATTGAAAAAATTTTCTCCCATTCTGTAGGTTGCCTGTTCACTCTGATGGTAGTTTCTTTTGCTGTGCAGAAGCTCTTTAGTTTAATTAGATCCCATTTGTCTATTTTGACTTTTGTTGCCATTGCTTTTGGTGTTTTAGTCATGAAGTCTTTGCCCATGCCTATGTCCTGAATGATATTGCCTAGGTTTTCTTCTAGGGTTTTTATGGTTTTAGGTCTTATGTTTAAGTCTTTAATCCATTTTGAGTTAATTTTTGTATAAGGTGTAAGGAAGGGATCCAGTTTCAGCTTTCTGTATATGGCTAGCCAGTTTTCCCAACACCATTTATTAAATAGGGAATCCTTTCCCCATTGCTTTTGTTGGGTTTGTCAAAGATCAGATGGTTGTAGATGAGTGGTGTTATTTCGGAGGCCTCTGTGCTGTTCCTTTGGTCTATATATCTTTTTTGGTACCAGTACCATGCTGTTTTTGTTACTATAGCCTTGTAGTATTGTTTGAAGTCAGGTAGTGTGATGCCTCCAGCTTTGTTCTTTTTGCTTAGGATTGTCTTGGCTATGTGGGCTCTTGTTTGGTTCCATATGAAATTTAAAGTAGTTTTTTCCAATTCTGTGAAGAAAGTCAATGGTAGGTTGATGGGGATAGCATTGAATCTATAAATTACTTTGGGCAATATGGCCATTTTCACGATATTGATTCTTCTTATCCATGAGCATGGAATGTTTTTCCATTTGTGTCCTCTCTTATTTGCTTGAGCAGTGGTTTGTAGTTCTCCTTGAAGAGGTCCTTCACATCCCTTGTAAGTTGTATTCCTAAGTATTTTATTCTCTTCGTAGCAATCGTGAATGGGAGTTCACTCATGATTTGGCTCTCTGTCTATTATTGGTATATAGAAATGCTTGTGATTTTTGCACATTGATTTTGTATCCTGAGACTTTGCTGAAGTTGCTTACCAGCTTAAGGAGATTTTGGGCTGAGACAATGGCGTTTTCTAAATATACAATCATGTCATCTGCAAACAGAGACAATTTGACTTCCTCTTTTCCTAATTGAACACTCTCTATTTCTTTCTCTTGCCTCATTGCCCTGGCCAGAACTTCCAATACTATGTTGAATAGGAGTGGTGAGAGGCGGCATCCTTGTCTTGTGTCAATTTTCAAAGGGAATGCTTCCAGTTTTTGCCCATTCAGTATGATATTGGCTGTAGGTCTGTCATAAATAGCTCTTATTATTTTGAGATACATTCCATCAATACCTAGTTTATTGAGAGTTTTTAGCATGAAGGGCTGTTGAATTTTGTTGAAGGCCTTTTCTGCATCTATTGAGATAATCATGTGGTTTTAGTCATTGGTTCTGTTTATGTGATGAATTATGTTTATTGATTTGCATATGTTAAACCAGCCTTGCATCCCAGGGATGAAGCCAACTTAATCGTGGGGGATAAGCTTTTTGATGTGCTGCTGGATTTGGTTTGCTAGTATTTTATTGAGGATTTTCGCATTTATGTTAATCAGGGATATTGGCCTGAAATTTTCTTTTTTTGTTGTGTCTCTGCTGGGATTTGGTATCAGGATGACGCTGGCCTCATAAAATGCGTTAGGGCAGATTCCCTCTTTTTCTATTGTTTGGAATAGTTTCAGAAGGAATGATACCAGCTCCTCTTTGTACCTCTGGTAGAATTTGGCCGTGAATCCATCTGGTCCTGGACTTTTTCTGGTTGGTAGGCTATTACTGCCTCAATTTCAGAACTTGTTATTGGTCTATTTAGGGATTCAACTTCTCCCTGGTTTAGTCTTGGGAGGCTGTATGTGTCCAGGAATTTATCATTTTTTCTAGAATTTCTAGTTTATTTGCATAGAGGTGTTTATAGTATTCTATGATGGTAGTTTGTATTTCTGTGGGATCAGTGGTGATATCCCCTTTATCATTTTTTATTAACTGCGTCGTATTTCATTCCATCAAGTGTAGGCTGTTTCCAACCATTGCTTTGATAACAATGTTGTGATGACCGTGCCTTTCATGTGTCATTTGGCACAGAGACCAAATGGTTAGGATAACTACCCTTAAGCAGACTGCTGTCCAAAGAGCATAGGCATTTTAACTTTTAATTAGAATATTGCCAAATTGTCCTCTGAACCTTATGATTTTTAATGCCGTGGACACCAGACCCATCCATTCACAGATTCACAACCAGGTCATTTCCTCCACACATTTCCTGCCTCTTCTCCTAATTTTAGCTCTGATTGCATAATGCCTGTGGCTGATCCATAGCTCAGCAGGCAAACAGTTGTTATCTGAATAGGGGTCCAAAGTTTCCCCAAAGTAGGAAGAGGAGGGGTGGGGGAGGCATGACGGGAACACAAAGAGGAACTAATATGTACTGAACATCTTCCAGGAGTTGGAGCTTTCCCTGTGAATCTCATCTGAGCTTCACAGCAGCCATGTGAAGTGGGTCACAGTTCTGTCTCTTTCAGCTGAGAAAGCTGTGGCTCAGAGAGGTTAATCAACTTCATCAAAGTCACACATAGTGCTATGGGTGGAATTGTCTCCCCACAAAAGATATGTTGAAACCCTAACCCCTACTCCCTCCTCAGTACCTGAGAATGTGACCTTATTTGGAAATAGGGTTGTTGCAGATGTAACTAGTTCAGATGAGGTCACATGGAGTCCAGTGGGCCCTAAGTCCAACATGACTGCTGTCCTTATAAAAAGAGAAAGATTTGGACTTGGACACAGAGACAGAGAAGACAGTCATATGAAGACAGGGGCCAAGATTGGAGTGATGCCGCCACAAGCAAGGAATCCCTCCCTGGGGCTGCCAGAAACTGGAAGAGGCAGGGAAGGATCCTTCCTAGAGGGTTTGGAGGGAGGTGGTCCTACTAACAGCTTGATTTCAGATGGAGCTGTAAGGGAACACATTTCTGTTGCCTTAAGTCACACAGTTTGTGATGGTCTCTTATGGCAGCCCTAGCAGACTCATACAGCCAGTAAGGGCCAAAGCCAGAAATGTAGCCTAACATGGCCTAACCTTGAACCTCAAGCTAGCTCAACTCTGTCACTCAGTGACTGCTGCCCGTGAACCTTCAGTGGAGTCAGAGGTCCAGGCCTGCCTTAGAGCTGGTGGGAGGAGGCAATGAATCAGAAGTGGGTGAAGTGATTGGAAGCCAAACCCAGTTCTGGGCATTTGGTGACCCCTCAGCCTCCTGGAAGGCATATTTTAGGCAGACTCCAGAACAGTGGGGAGCTACTCTGTTTCAAATTCCCTTGTGGTCAGGACATGACTCTATAAACAAATCCACCTGCTATGTGGCGGTGTCAGGATTATCAAACCTAATCCAGGCGTTGCAAATGTGATATGAGAGGGACTAATGGGCCCTGATTCCCACCGCCTATCCATGAAGAGTTGGCTATGCTCTTTGCAAACAGGCTTCCAGACTGGCCAGGGTGTTTGGTTACTGTTTACAGGGTTGTCCTTGGAGGAAAACAACCAGTCTTCCCCTGTTTCCAGTTTCCACGGCAACGGGGAGGACGTGCTTTGATTTCTGGGGACATCCCTTCCGGTGTGCAGGGGTTTGGTGCATCTGTGTTTCCAGGCTGCAGGATCTGCAGGAGGCCTTTGCTGAGCAGGGGCAGGGCTGCAACCCAGGAGGGGTCCCTGGAGGAGGGAAGGACGGGACCAGACAGAGAAGGCCAAAGAAACTGATTTCCTGAGTCCTCACTCCTGATTTCAGCTGAGGCTAATGTGCATGTCAGAGATCACCCTCAGCAACCAAAGGAAGAGAAGACAGTGAGTCATAGAGGGAAGGATCTGAACTGGATGTAGCCGGGGCGGCATTTGTAAGGCAATCCATTGGAGTGCAAGAAGAAAACAACAGAACTCTGAGTTAGATTTCTGTCTTGTCTCTTTAAAAGGTTTACTTTTTGTATGTGCTTTATAAAATGCATCATTAATAACTCATGCATGTAACTTTATAAAATGCATCATTAATAAACTCATGCATGTAGAAAACAACTGCTATATTGGAAGGCATACTCAGTTTCAGAAAACTGACAAAGGTTTATGATTAAAAAAATACGGAGGTGTTGTTAGAGAAGACCAAGCCATCAATCCATAGCCTGACATTCTGGGCCCTTCCCTTCCTTTCACATCCCCCTCCTCTGCAGTCCAAGTTTTCTGTCCACTGTACCTTAAGCTGAGCCTTTGGCCTTTGATTCATGTTGTTGTCAGTTCTTCCTGAATGTTGTGCATATGTGTGCATAGTGCAAAGCCCGGCTTTGGAGTCAGAGATTTAAAGGTACAAATCTCACCTCTGTCACTTACTAGCTGTTAGACCTGTGGAAAGCTATCTATTCATATCCCCGAGCCTCAGTTTTCTCCTCTGTAAAATGAAAATAACAACCTCTACCTTGCAATATTGTTAGGAGGCTTAAATGATACAGTATATATAAAGTGCTTTGTGTTGCTTACTAGGAACTCAGTCGGTGACTTATCATTAGCCTCATGGTTATTTACCTAATTAATCAGCGGTATAAATCCTACTTGTTCTTCAAGGACTAACTCTAGGATACCATTCTGATTTTGTCTCTCCCTGATCTAAACTCCCTCCTCCTAACTTGGAAAGCATTTGTCTGTAGAACTAACTCAGCTGTTCCTTGTATATTGTTTCATGTTATTAATCAGATTTGCAAATGTTTGTATCATTGCCTTCTGTTGCAGGGATCTACCATAGCTCATGCCTGCTTTATGGGATTGTTGACAGTACTTGGATGTGGAGGGCTGCGTTACTCCTTCTGCCAGTTAGCAGCCCATTATTGCCTTTGGTCGTCAGGAAGCCCTTCTCTTATTTTATTTTTGCCTCTGTATCCCTATTTCCTACTCCTATCATGTCTCATAGGCACTCGCTTTTATATGTTTGGCATGTCCTTAATATGCTTTCTATCCTTGTAAAATATGCAAAGTTGCATGGTTTTGTTAATATTGTTAATTTATCTAAAATGGTATGCTAAAAAGTTTTGTTTATTATGGTTTCTTCTCTCTAAATGCCATGTTTTAACTCCATCCACATTGCTATATTTACATCTATTTGATGTTTCTAAATGGTACAGATAATTCCTTAATATGCATTTGCCACACTTTATATATTGAATCCCTTGGTGATAGACATATACTCTGTCTCTAATTCCTTGATTCAACAATGCCTCAAGGAGCTTCCTTATTCCTTATGGACAAGGATTTGTGTAATTCTTAAGGGTGGGATATGTCTCTTAAAGGTCTCTGTGATTCCTTCTCTGAGATATAAATTCAGGAATGGGATTGCCAGGTTACAGGGTAGGAACATACTAATCAGGGCTGTGACTAGGATGAAGCATGCAAGGTGCATAGTGCAAAAAGCCTCGTTTTGAAGTCAGAGATTTAAAGGTATGAATTTAAAGGTACAATTTAAGGGATCACTCCCTCCCACGGTGTCATAAAAATGCAGAGTTTTAGGAACCTCTCCTAGTTTGCTTTCCAGAATGGCTGGACCCCATGAGCAGTGCATGAGGGCCCCCTCTGTCACCACATCATCACCAGCACTTGGTATTATACATCTTTCTAGTTTTTGCCGGGTTGATGGGAATATAGTGGCATCTCACTGTCCTTTCATCTTTTGCCTTTCTACCTTTCACAAGGGCTTTGCAGGTCTGGGCAGATAGTAGGTACCCTATTAATAAGTGAATGATGGCTTTGAGGAAATTTTCAGGGTGATTCTGACTCTGAAATGGGATGCTGCCTTATTATGCCTATTTTACTATAAAGTGAATAATGTAGCATATCTGATATTCACCAATCTTTTACCCCTGAGAAAGATGTGGTTGCACTCAACATAAGAGAGAGCTGAGGCCAAAAGCAGGTTTTTTTTGACATTCAGTGCTCTTCTCACTATGCCCTGAGTGTCGGTTCCATTGGCACTGATTATTCCATTATGGTGCACATCCTAAACTGCATAGAAATGCACGCTTCAAGATGGCTACTTCTCATAATGGTGACTGAAGCTGTGTGTATTTGATTTCAAATAGTAGTAATGACAGAAACAAAACCTAAACAACCAAGAAGCAAACTTTCTATAGCACTTTTTATGAATGAGGTTCTGTACTAAGCGTTTGAAGTATTTTAATGCTTTTATTGCTTGTGACAATTTTATGGGGCATATGTCCCATTATTATACCCATTTTACAGATGGGAAAACTATGGTGCAGAGAATTTAAGTCTTCCGCAAGATCACAATCACACAATTTATAAATAGTAGAGTCAGGAAAAATGTACTTGTTCAGGTGCCCAGATGACAAGTATCTGGGGATTTGGAAAAATTTGGAATTTTGGTTTTCTGTACACAAGCAAAGGGATGAGTGCTATGTAGGTTTGTGAAAGCCATGACTAATTCCCTTCTGGTAAAGTCAGATCCAACCAAAGATGCAACAGATACAGCTTAATAATAATGCCTCACATTTATGTAAGGCTGCAAATTCCAAAGTGCTGTGTCACCCGGCAGTTCCATGTCATTCTGTATATTTTTGACTGCGAAAGCAATACATGTTTTAGGATGAAACGTTATCTTATAATTCATTTGAAATGGAGGTATTTGAGATGTTGAAGCAATAATCATACCTAATATTGTCCCAGCTTTTCTCCCTAACATCAGTTTAAATGGTCTTTCAGTTTGGGATTGTTCCCATCTTTGCAGCAATGCCTATGTTCTTTGAATGATAATTTAGGAGCTCAATCCTTGATAAAGCCACTTTTTCAGGTTGAACTTTCTGATGGTGGTGTGATAAAAAGGAAAGTTTTGGGGGTCAACAGGTGGACCAAGGATGGAGTCTGACCTTCAGACTTGTTTTATTTGTCCTCATCATGTTTTATACTTTAGGAATTTCACATTAATATCTAGATTTCTGGCTTATTTTGAAAAAAATCACAAGAGCCAGCAGCTTGAGTCTGCATCCCTGAATGAATCTATTCCATCTGCTGAAGATGAACGGAAGCAACTCTCTTAGGTGGGATCTGTGGTCTCCAGTTTCTCAGTGTCACCACCACACCTGCTCCCCCCACCTCTCCCTCTGCAGCCCCAACTCCTTTCTCTCATGGCTGGTGTATTTCATTCATTTATGAAAGCTGCCTGACTTCTGTGGGCGTTCATATTTCCAATCCCTGTTTTAAGAGATATCTTGTAGATGAGAATTCAGAACTTGCTTGGAAGTTACTAGGCCCCTCAACCCCCAAGTAAGTTTGGCGAGGGACAAAGGGAATGTGGGAATGCTGGGGAATAAGTGGGTGGTTGAGGCAGAGGCAGAGGAAGAGGTGAGGTCAGGAAAAAGTGGAGGCATCTTTGAAGTGAAGCTCCTTGAAACTTGTTCTGCTTTAGATCAAAGAGGGACATTTTGCACGGGCTGTCTCCTGATGGGAATGGTGAATGAGAATACTGATTCCAACAGTAGGTTTCCAGCTAGAGACAGTCAAGGCTAGAGATGGGAGACTGGTTGGGAGACGATCACATGAATTTCATGACTTCAAGTCAAATACAATTCTGTTATTGAATGCTGTGAAGGAAAAGTGATGGAGTGCCCACATTTGTGATGATTCTACCACATCCCTCCCCAGACTTCTTTGCCCACCTCTCTTCTGCATGTTAAGGGAGAGAGCTGCCTCCTCCTAATGGGTGTGGTGTGGAGCAGCCTCTTTGGAGCCGGTGAGCAGTGAATTTAGAGGCTTACATTCCCTCACTGTGTAATAAACAAGTCCTGGGTTGTGCGACTCAAGACCCTGCTCTGAGTTTTTTTAGGGGCTGCATCAGGCTCTCTAAAGTGATTATATCCTAAGAAGCCAAAAACCTAGAGTTTGGAGATTCACAGATGGAGGGAAATGTTCAGTTCTTGGGCCACCTTTGCTCAGAACTTCCATGGAGAACAATCTCATGACATGTTGGTTAGAGGACAGCCCATAGACAATGAGAGTCCTTCGTTTTATTATTATTGTTGCCAGGGAGACCTTCATTATACTCACAGGGCTCTACCTTAGGAGCTAGTGCCCGAAGTATCTATAATATTAAAATAAGAAATGAACTTTCTTATCTGAGAGATTAGACAAAATCTTACAGAATTTTGCCAGCAGAAAGCTCTTTCTTGGCTCAGGCCAGTTGTTCTTCTAGAAGCTGCCTAAATTAGGCAGCTTTGTATCCAGCTTTGTATCTGATTAGTCTATTAACACATGCTCAGGACGTCTTCTCATAGAAACTTAGCGTTTTGATGACGCTTTGTAATTTGTAGGTGAGGTGGTGGTTTCTGGCATCATATTATAGCAGCAAGGTCTTTTGCTTAAATCCATGGGAGTGGGATGTTCATTTGTCTGGAATGTGCAAGGGAAGACACTTTCTGTCTAGCTTCTGTGCCTTTGAACATGCCATTCATTCTGTCTACAATTCCGTCCCTCCATCTGCATGAGGCCGACTTCTATTTGTCCTTCAAAAGTCAGCCCACGTGTCCTTGCTCAAGAAACCTTCCTGACTGCGGTGCTGCTCTCCTTCCACCTGCGTGTTCCTCTAGTGCTAGGGTCTATCTCTATTTAGCATTAATTCATCTGTAATTTCTGCGTGTCTCCCCAAACAACCAATCTGCAAGCCCCTTGAGGGCAGGACTATGTCTTGTTCTTTAAAGGAGGATTTTCCCAGCCAGATCCTTCCCGTCCCCCAGCTCACTCCCTGCCTGGGTCAGATGCCTCTTTTCTGGGTTTTCCCTCAGTGGTACTGACCCTAGATTGGATCATCTATTCAGGGGTCTCCATCAGGACTGCACCTTCCTCCCTTGTCTTTGTACCCGAGCACCTCTGTCCTAATGCTTGACATATTGAATGTAGATGATTGACTTGTTCTGGCCTGCCTGGGACTTTCCTGCTTTTAAAACAAAACTTCACAATTCCACTCCTAGGTATATACCCCAAAGAATTGAAAACATACTCAAACAAATACATGTACACCCGTGTTCACAGCAGCACTATTCACAATAGCCAAAAGTGGAAACAGCCCAAATGTTCATTAGTGGATGAGTGGAGAAACAAAATATGGTATAACCACATGATGGAATCTTATTCAGCCATTCTTATGGCTGAGTAAGAATGGAATGGAATACTGATACATGCTACAATGTGGATGAACCTCAAAAACATGCTAAATCAAAGAGGCCGGACATGGAAGGCCACATTTTGTATGATTCAATTGATATGCGATGTCTAGTAGGCAATACCATAGAGACAGAATGCAGATTGGAGGTTGCCAGGGGCTGAGAGGTGGAGGACAAATGGAGAGTGACTGCTTAAGGGGGTACAGAGTATCCTTTTGGGATGATGAAAACATTTTGGAAGTAGATGGCTGTTGCGCAACATTGTTACTGTACTAAATAAATGTCACTGGATTGTTCACTTTAAAATGGTGATACGCATTTCATTTTATATGCATTTTGTTTTTATGTTATATGCATTTTATTTCAACAACAATTAAAAAATCTGAATCTTTTGTGAACTGGGATAGTTGGTGAGTTACACCATTTTGCGTTGCCAAAAAGGAATACTTGAGGCTGCGTAATTTATGAAGAAAAGAGGTTTAATTGGCTCACGGTTTAGTTCCCCAGGCTGTACAAGCGTGGTTCCAACATTTGCTTCTGGTGAGGGCCTCAGGAAGCTTACAATCAAGGCAGAGGCAAAGCAGGAGCTGACATCCCATGGTGAGAGCATGGGGAGGTGCCACACTCTTTTAAACAACCAGATCTTGTGTGACCTGAAAGTGAACTCACTCATATACTGCAAGGAGGGCACCAAGCCATCCATGAGGGATCCACTCCCATGACACAAACACCCCCCACCAGGCCCCACCTCCAACACTGGGGATTACTTTTCAACATAAGATTTGAAGGGGACAAACATCCAAACTGTATCGGCTGGTCATCCTGATTGTAGGGGATATATAATTATCTGTTGAAAGAGAGGCTAAAGAGAAAGGGAAGGCTGCTTCCTCAGTGAAGTCAAACCTAAGACCTTTTAAAGCTCTTAAAGTGGAATTGCCTAGTGGCAGGGGTGGAAGGCCATGCCGCCCTGACTCCCCTCAGCTTGATCTTTTGTTTGGGGGCCCCCAGACAGACGTTGTGGCCTCCAAACTGGCTCCCGGGAGGCCCTGAGCCTTTTTTCAATGCTCTGGCCCAGTGTGAACAAAGCTCCCTCTGGTTCCCTATGACCCAGCTGAGAGTAGCCTGGATCTTGAAAGACAGGCTTTATTCAATTTTAGAAGAGAATGAAAGAGAAGTAAACATAGAAGAGGTATTTATATAGCACGGACTTCTCCTCTTACTGTTGTTACCTTTCTTGGAGAGGTTTGCAAGCTCATGCTTGCCCCACGTTATTGCAGGAGGAAAAAGGAAATGCCCCAGACATTTCCAGCACTGAACCCTCTATTAGAATAAGCACATTAGAAAAGCTTCCTCTTTGTTCTTTCAGGCTGGGGTGTCCTAATAAAGACCTCCAAGGCAGACAGTGTGTGTGGGCGGGGGTGAGCGGGGGACGGTGGCTCTTCTGACATCTCCAAGACCTCCAGGAAGTTCTGGGGGAGAGGGGGTTTTAGCTTCTTTTTTTTTTTTAAAGATAGTCTTGCTCTGTTGCCCAGACTGGAGTGCAGTGGAGTGATCTTGGCTCACTGCAACCTCCGCCTCTAGGGTTCAAGTGATTCTCCTGCCTCAGCCTCTCAAGTAGCTGGGATTACAGGCGCGTGCCACCACACCCGGCTAATTTTATATTTTTAGTAAAGACGGGGTTTCACAATGTCGGCCAGGCTGGTCTCGAATTCCTGACCTCAGGTGATCCATCCGCCATGGCCTCCCAAAGTGCTGGGATTACAGGGGTGAGCCACCACACCCAGCCACTTGGGCTGTTTCTTCCATAAGGCTCTTCTGTAAGGGGTTTTACTCTGTACGATTTTACTTTCCAGATTGGTGAGAGACTGAGAAGGCAAGTTTGAGATCCTGGAGAGAGAACCACTTTGAAGACGGTGAATTCTGGAGGGAGCCTGGTCTGCAGAGGTGTGTGGCCTCGGTGGATGGAACTGTTCCTACCTGTGCATAGGATTGACTGTTCTTGCTCCTGGTAAGGTCACGGGCATTGGGTCTTCTCTGGGTGAGTGCTGGCTTCTACTTGCCTTTCATACACTGGCAGTCACATGCACACTGTGTGTCCACAACGGAGGAGGAGATGGCTGTGTTTCTCATTGCTCTCAGGGTTGCCTTTGTGCAGGGTACCATGGTAACTCTGCCTTAACCCTAGCGAGCAGAGGACAGGAGAATAAAAACACATGCAAAGGAACCCAGGAGCTGGAGAGGAGGAATCCACAAAACACACAGAAGGAGTACCTGAAATAGAGTGGCCAGAATAGACAACTTCAGCTAAAATTAAAAACGTATATTCATTTCCTAGGACTGCTGTAACAAATCATCACAAACATGGTGGTTTAAAACAACAGTGATTTATTCTTTTACAGTTCTGGAGGCCAGAAGTCCAAAACCAAGGAGTCAGCAGGGCTATGCTTCCTCTGAAGTTTCTAGGGGCCCACCTGTCCTTGCCTCTTCCTGCTTCTGGTGACTCCTGGTGTTGCTTGGCTTGTGGTAGCATCACTTCAACCTCTGCCTCCATTGCCACATGGCCTTCATTTCTGTGTATATCTGTGTATCCTCTCTCTCTCTCTTTTTAAAAATGAGGACATCAGTCATTGGATTAGGGCCCACCCTAATCCAGTAGGACAACTTTTAAACATCTGCAAAGACACTGTTTCCAAATAAGGTCACATTTCAAGTTCTGGGTGGACATGACTTCCAACCTACTGCACTATGCGAGGATATTTAAGTATTGAAGAAAAAGACTCTTTGGTACCAAAAACATATAGTTTGCCAACTAAAAAATCTGATATATGAATCAAATGAGAAGATGAGACCTCAATCGG
The DNA here is from genome assembly GCF_000001405.40 of Homo sapiens. Lineage (NCBI taxonomy): Eukaryota > Metazoa > Chordata > Mammalia > Primates > Hominidae > Homo > Homo sapiens. The sequence goes on from NC_000015.10 coordinate 85,982,737, forward strand.
TGGCCTTGGAAGATCAGGAAGAAATAACTGGAACAGAACAAAAATATAAAGAGAGGGAACTCTCATGGGACAAGATGAGAGACTTGAAAAATAGGTCCAGGAGCTCCAACATTGGTTCCACAAAACAAAAAAGAAACAGAATTAAATAGCTAAATAAATAAATAAATAAAAATAAAAGCAAAACATTTCTAAAGTGGAAACAAATTCTTTGAATCTTCACATCAAGAGTTTTCACCAAACTCCAGACAAGGATATAGAATTCAGACAGATTTATGCATAACCTGGTAAAATTTCTGGTAAACCTTGAGGATAAAGAAAGTCTCACAAGCTAACAGACCCAAGAACTCAGCCCAAGGAATATTTCCTCACACATTCTCTACTTCTCTATTGGCTGGCTTGTGAAACCATTTGTTATTATGTAATTTTCCATGTTTCCTTGACAAGTTTGCAAGACTTTGATAGCAGGAAGGATGCTTTACTTAGCTGTCCATCTGTTCTAACATCTGGAAATGCAAAAAGTTGACGCACAAGACAGGACAACTAGGATACCCTGACATTCCGTGTACGGTAGTCTAAGAGGCACACAGGTATCATTCAGAACAACGTGGACTACGATAGTGCTAATGGCCACGTGCTCTTGCCTTGTTCTAAAGAGAGTCTCAGCTTAGATTGGGAAAGCCTGTGGCTTAACTGGAATATTCAGGAAGAGGTGGTGATAGAAGAAAAGGAAGTCCTACGTAGCATAGCTGGACCAGGGAAACCAACCTGTCATCCTGCAGTCGACTTCACCCTCAAGTATAACATCACCCTCAGGCTGCACTCTCAAAGGCAAGGCCAAGAGAGCCAGGGTCCTGCCTCTTAGCATAAAAAATGTCCAAGAGATAGGCAGAGACAGTCAGCTTTGTAGCTTCCAAGGTAGAGCCTGAGACCCTGGTTTGTGTTTGGGCTAATCAGGAAAATGGGCACAAACCCAGGCATATGCGTGGGGTAAAAAGGTAGGAGTTAAAAAAGGCAGCAGTGGCCAGGCATGGTGGCTCGCGCCTGCAATCCCAGCACTTTGGGAGGCCGAGGCAGGCGGATCACTTGAGGTTAGGAGTTTGAGAGGAGCCTGGCCAACATGGTGAAACCCCATCATCTCCACTAAAATTACAAACATCAGCCAGGTGTGGTGGAGGACACCTGTAATCCCAGCTACTCGCGAGGTTGAGGCACGAGAATTGCTTGAACCTGGAAGGTGGAGGTTGTAGGGAGCTGAGATTTCACCACTGCACTCCAGCCTGGGCAACAAAGTGAGACTCTGTCTCAAAAAACAAACAAACAAAAAAAAGTAGCAGCTAGGCTGGCAAAGCAGATACCCAGGACACCCCAGTTTTACATCAGGGTCTTAGGAGTTACACAGGCCTGTGTTTGATCCCTAGGTTCTCTACTCACCTGCAGTGCAAAACTGGACAAATGCCTGCACTCAAAAAGCTGTCTTGAGGGTAATGATTCTTAAATAAACAAAATTAAAAAAATCAAAGTGCTGGTACAGTAATAGGTGCACAGCAAAAGCTTGAATGATATTTTTTATTCACGTTTGTTTATTTCTATTTTTAAAATAGTGATAAGGCTATGTCCAGATTTCGCCTCTACTGGGGCCTGGATGGCTCCTGTCTGCTCCATCTAGGTTGGGCTGACTCAGCACTGGCTGGAGGGACTGAGGTTTAAGTGCTGGTTCCCATCCCAGGAGGGAGGAGAGCTGCGAGGGAGGGTGGACCTGACACCCTCATTTAGCCGAGCCACACATCAGATAGAAAAGTGGAAATCACTGCTCTCCATTTTTGGCTCTTTATTTTGAAATTATGACATGGGCCTCCAAGGTTCATCCCCTGAAGGCCTTTGCACACACTTCTCTCATTATCTCTCCTTGCCAAGAAAATAGATTTCCAGCTCACGGTTGACATGTGAATGTGCATGTCTTTTCTCCATGCAAAAACGTAAGGGTACCAAGCACCATTGTTAGCTGTTTTTTTTTTTTTTTTAATCCATAGATTCATTCAATAAATACTTACCTTTTTAACTCTGTGGAATACATTGAAGTTAGTTTTGTGGAAGACCCAGAAATGAGTAAGATATAATCTTAACTCACAAGGTAGTCACTTACTACTAGGGGAAGAGGAAAAATATACAGAAAGATGGAAAGTGATACAGACTGTGAGGCAAACAAATAGGTTGCTAGGGGAGGCTGGAGGCTGGCGGAAGCCCTTCCAGCTGAACAGAATCAGGCAGCTGCGTCTGGTACTAAGACTTGCCATATTCTTGTTGGGCTAGAGACTGAGTAGTGGCTTATCTATAGATCATCCCTTTATTTATCATAATAACCTAAAGAAGTAGGTTCTAAAACTAAGGCTGAGCAAGATTAGAGGTGTTAAGTGAGTTACCCAAAGACACGGGATGAGTAAGGGGCTGATGTGGGATTCTCACCTGGGGTCATGTCACTTTTCTTCTTAAAGCCCTCCAATAGTGTCTCTTCCCACTCAAAATAGAATCCAAATTCTTTTTCCTGAACTACAAGATTCTGCACGACCAGGGCCCTGCCTGCTTCTCAAACCTTATCTGCACCATCTCCTTCTAAGCCGACATGCTCCAGCCATTCTCACGTTCTTATAGTTTCTCAGACCCACCAAACATGCCCTTCACCTAAGCCTTTGCATTGCACCTTTGCTTTATTTGGAATGCTTTTCCTTCAGATCGGTATGAAGTGGTTTCCTTGCACGTCTCGCCTCTAATCCCCCTCTCAGTGAGGCCTTGCTGGGCCACCCGAGTCTCTAGTTATTCTCGATTGTCTATGCCATGTTTTATTTTCCTCCTAGCACATATCATCTCCAGATATTTTCTTTCATCACTCCCTTTTAGAATGACTGCCCCACGAGGGCAGCACCTGGCCTGTCTCCTATACCACACTCAGGGCAGTCCCAGCTCATGGTCTGCTCTCGATAGATGGATATCAATTAGTGAAACGCTAAATAGCAGGTCCCAGAATTGGGTGTGGAGGGCATTGTAGAGCAGAGACTTAGCTTCAAATGTCAGGCTAAAGAGTTTTAGTTGGATTTACTGAAGTGCCTTTTTGGCAAAGGCATTAAACCATGAGAGTAAGGTTTATATTATTTTGGAATTGAGGCAACTGCTATCATTGTTTTAAAAATGTTTTATGAATCTTGATTGGAAGGACCCTTTTACTTTTGTAGACATTTTGTTTTTGATCATGCACAATTTCCTTTTGCTGGAAGAGGCAGAACAAGGGGAAGAAGCTTGAGTGATGAGGCAACAAGCCTCTCACCCACAGTGCCCAGGCCGGAACTCAGGCATGGAAAACCATGCTTCAAAGAGGGCGTCTGAGGTTGACCTGATCATCCAAGCCATGGAGGGGAGATCTGGAGTTTAATGAATGAGAAGTACAGAGAGGGCAAGTCAAGACCAGCCATAAGGAAGAGACCAGGCACGTGGGGCCTGGGACATCAGGGAAGATGTCTTTACTCTGGGGAATACGCCAGTTATGTTAAAGGAAGTCATCTGGATTCCCTTGGCAGGGGGAGAGAGCTTTCTTATGACTGCAGCTGGCATTCCCTCTAGAAAGAGTCTTTCCTTCCACTCCAGTTTGCATACAGCTCTTCCAAGTTGTGGCCAAAGGACGGCTGCCCTGGCTTTAGAATGACTTCCTCGAAGCCAGTGTTTCTCAGGCTTTTCCATCAAAGGTGCCACCCTATGGGAAGAGCCCTGCAAAGTTGGCCCCAGGCATGAAATTTCTTGGAATATTTCCATGTTTTATTTGAAAACTATTTATGTGAATTTTGCATTTTATATTCATATCTGTTTGAATATCAAATCATGTTTGAAATGATCAGTGGGTAAAAAATGTAATCATTTTATTTTTAAAAACCAAATCTTTGAATGAAATGGATTTCTTTGAATAACACTTTATTAAAATTAAAAAGTGTAGATAGCATGATCTGTATA